>NC_000006.12:164464729-164616244 GCF_000001405.40 Homo sapiens | reverse complement strand
GACCCATAGCTGTATGCTCAATTTCAGACAATGGTGCTAAGATAATTTATGTAGAAGGGACATAACACAATTAATTGTGTTGGAAAAAAATAGATGTTTATGGGTAAAAAAATGACTTCCACTAATACTTCACATAGTAATTAAAAATTAAACAAAATTAGATTAGGAATCTGGTGTAAAACCTAAAATTATAAAATTCCTAGGTAAAGTAGAGGAGAAAATATTATAACCTAATGGTAGGATAACAATTCTTATGTAAGTCTCCAAAAGCACAAAACAGAAAAAATAAAAAAAGAGTGAGTTGAACTTTATCAAAATTAAACACCTCTGCTCTTCCAAAGACTCAGTTAGGGAAATGAAAAGCAACATAATAACACAGAATGGGGAGAAAATATTTGTATAACTTATAACTGAAAAAGATTTATATCCAGAATATATAAGGAACTTTCATATCTAAATATGAAGAAAAAAGTCAAAAGCATTAAAAATGGGCAAAGAATTTGAACACTTTATGAAAAAAAGAAACAAATGGAAAATTATCACATGAAAAATGTGTATGCAGCACTAGTCATTAGGAAAATGTAAATTTAAAATGACAAATGACGCTTATTAGAAAGGTTAAAAGAAAACCGCCAAAATCTGCTAATACTCATTACCGGAGGAGATAACTCTCAACATTTTGGGTGGGAATGCAAAATGTTACAGCCCCATTGGAAAACAGTTTGGCTTGGTCATATCTTATAAAGTTAAGCATGAACTTAACCAATGACTCATCCCTAGGTAATTACCCAAGACAAACATAAGCATATATCCACACAAAGACCTGTATACACATTTTAATAAAGTCTTTATTCAGAATCACCAAGTGTAGCCAACTCAAATTTTCATGCTGAATGGGTAAATGGATAAACAAGTTGCAGTACACTTATCCACTGGAACAACACTTGGAGATACAATGGAAGCATCCACTGATATATACAACTTCAGAAATGATTGCTAAATGAAAAAGTCCTGCACAAAAACGGCTACATATTCAATGATTTCATTTATGTACAATATTTGGAAAGACAAAATTATAGAAATAAAAAAAACAGGTTAGTGGTTGCCAGGGGATGGGGATGGGAGGAAGTGTTTAACTGCAAACCAGCATGAAAGAACTTTATGGAGTGATGAAAATATTCAATTTCGTTAACATAGTGCTGGTTTCTTGACTGAATCACATTTGTCAAATCTCATAGAACTGTAAACCTTAAAAAGGTGAATTTATTTTCTGTTAAATGTACCTCAATAAACCCAATGTAAGATGTGTATTATGTATGTATGTGTGTGTGTGTGTGTGTGTGTGTGTGTGTGTACAAATTAAATATGTAAAGATTAGGTCAGTGTTTCCCAAATGTGCATAGACACTGCTGGGGGATTTTATTTAAAATGCAAATTCTGAAACAGTAGATCTGTGGTATGTCCTGGGATTTGGCATTTCTAGTAATTTCTCAGGGAATGCCCATAATGCTCGCTCATGGATCTCTCTTTGTGTAGCAAGGGATTAGAATGTGGTATAAATCAGATGGGACCATATCCCTGGAGTTAAACAAAATTAAAAGTAACTGGAATAAATTGTAGGCTATAATTTGGAACAGATCTTGAAATGTCGGCGAGTTGGCGGGGCCCATGCAGCTCAAACTTTTTAATGAAATAGAGTCTGTGAGGAAGGACTTCTTGATTCAGCCAGTTACAAGCTGATGGAATTTGTCAGTTGATTTTGATTGACACAGTCCCTTTTGATGATCAACAGGATCTGAATTTCCAAGATTTCATTCATAAAATTCTTGTGAAATTTTCTGCCCAAGTCCACTCTCATTACAAGATACAATGGACAACATTTGCTTTTTTATACCTGAACTTTTGGAGGCGATGTGATATTTTTAGTAGAATTGTATTTGGGATCAGCATAGCATGTCTCTGAGCAGGTCAGTGATTGCTGATCAGCTTTTGCTCTGTATTAGCACCCCAAGGAAAGTTTTCATATCAGTGCTTCCTTCTAAATTAGTAAGGAAGATGTTTCATATTATCAACTTATGGAAGAAAACTTTTACAGTGTCAAGTCATATTCTATTTCTTATTTTCCTTGATTTAGTTGGTTTCAAAAGAAGACCTTAGCAAATTAACGTAGTAGACACCAGAATAGAAACGACTTGGCATAATTTATGCCATAAGGCTAATTTTGTCTAATTTATTAAATGATAAAAATGATACAGTCAAAGTGTTTGCACACTATCAGGAAGGTATTTTCTTCCCGGGGGATAATTGTAAATGCATCATGTTCTAGATATTTTATTTTCTAGGTTCAATACTTTATGAATAAGATGTGTTTTTAAATACTTACCTTGACCTTATCCTGGTTAATGGCAAAAATGAAAGTGTGGAATGCCACCAAAAGAGCTCTTTTCTCTCTTGATAACATTAACACTTATCATACACTCCAAACCATCTTCTTTATTTCCGTTTGTTCTGCAATCTTATTACAGAATTTGTTAACTCTTTTCCAGTATCCAATTTTTTTCAAATTATCTTCCCAAGATATAATATATAAAAGTGGAAACTAAAATCCAGTATCAAGTGTGGAAGGAATGAATGTCAAGACTTATGACAGCAGGAGGAAATATGTCTGATTTTACCATTCAGGATAGAATTTTTTAAATGACTTTTTAACACCAAAATGATTTTTATCAAAGTTATCAAATGATTTATGTTAAGCGCAAAAAATATTACCATCCTCAAATGTTACCCTTATAACTACTATATGCTCAATTGATTCAAATATTGAAATATCCTAATGGATATTTTATGGAATATCTTATTAGAGAAAAATTGGATTGGCACTTAATTCTTGTTCGACAGTAAACGAGCAACTATACTGCCTATTACAGGAGAAGTACAGTATATTGACTTTGCTTTCTGTCCACAGAATATTTCCTAACTGAATTTTTATTGTTTGTGTTTTTATTGGTTTTATTTATTTGAGTCACTTTAAACCCTAGAAAATTTCAAAAATCCATCTTAAATAGTCTTTGATCCCAGATAACTTTGTAACATACAATATCTCTTTGAGATGCACAATTGGAGTAGAGCTTTATGATATATATCTACTTCCAGAGCTGAGCCAGTCGAGATTAATTAGATCAGAGTTCTTGCTACTCTGTAGGAAGCCACGACACTCTGGGCTTAGCTCTTGTCAAATCTCATCAGTGAAACAAGGCATTGGTCAATACTTAGATTAGATGGCTCTAAAGAAATTCAACAAGAATGATTGCTGGCAGCACAGTAGATGGCACTACTTCCTTTGAGACATTGTTAATGAATACCATTGGCGGGAGATCACTACTTTTAAAATATGGAGCATTCAAGCCACCAGGTAGAATCATAAAGCTACCTAATTTTCTCAGTTCTTTTGCCAATCAAATGAATGTCAGAGTTGCATTTTTAACCACTTACAAAAAATACAACAAAGCTTTCCCACAATACCCTCCCTCCAAAAGCAAAACAAAAAGAAAACATCACACACACACACACACACACACACACTCAAAACAGAGAAGCTTCTATGAGTCCCTGATTAGCAGAACATGGAAGAAAATTAGAAAATTCAGCTTCAGTGAGAGGTCCTCTAGCCTCCTCTCCCTACTCACTTTTCCTCTCATTAATCTAGTTCATTAATACTTAATCTCATGTCGTACTAGAGCCCAAAGTGTTAAAATAACCTCTTACTATGAATCATGGATGCACAGATTACTGTGTTGGAAAAAAATGTTTAAACTACTCATGGAAATCTTGGATTTCTATCACCATGTCTCCTCTACGTTTAATACCAGAAGTCCCAGAAACAGCACATTTCTTCACTGTGCGGCTTTGTCTGTGAGAAGGTACTTAAGTTCTGTCAAAGTATGTCTACATGTGCCTCTCTATAAATCCTAACCTACAGGGAATGGGCCTGCCTCTTAGGGCCACACAAAATGCTAGTTCTCTTATATGCGGCAGCCTTTCTCATTTCATTTTCTTCCAAAGTCATTTTTTTAACAAATGAAGCATTTAGATATTTTCTTACAAGACAAACTTGAGTGGCTCCATCATTCTAGCGCTGGTATTTAAAATGTATTCCGTTTGTTTTATCTCCTTGTTAAAATATGCTCTGTAATAACAATTTTAAATAATTATTTGGTATGCCAGGAATTCCAGGAAAATGCTTACAAGTCCTGTTGTAAATCTACTCCATGATCTGATGGTTGGTGGTTCGTCTTCTAAAATAGATCTGTCTCTAGAAAAATAAAAAAAAAAACTGGGACAAGGATTTCATTGTTTTCTAGAATAAGGCATTGCATTGATTTAATGTATATAATGTTGCTGTGATTCATCACCTCCTAATAAATTGATTTATTCATTAAATGTGTGCAAGGTTACCTGCTAGGTTTATAGAGTATATAAAGAGAATCAGACATCAATCCTGGTGGCAAGGGATTATAGTCATTGAGAGACATAAGATACATTATGTAAGTTGTAATATGCAACTAATTCCTCAAGGTTGAGTATAGTGGTGATTCAGAGGTGTGAAGACTATTTTTAAGTGAGGCTCAACTTTATTCTTTTCTTTGAAGATTGTTTTAAACAATTGTTTTAGAGATAGGTGTCACTACATTGCCCAAGCTGTACTGGAACTCCTGGACTCTAGCAATCTTCCTGCCTCAACCTCCCGAGTAGTTGGGACTACAGGCACACACCACTGCATCCTGCTTCTTGTGTAAAGATTTCTATACAATTTAACAGTTGAACCATTTTATGGTTTTTTTTTTTTTTTTTGGACAAAACTTTGTTTTATAATCCTTACAGGAGCGTACTTTACTCAATTGTTAAAAGCTGTAAATAGCTCAAGAAGTGGGGGTTTCTTGACTCGATAAAGGGAAGACTTAGCTTTCCAAAAAAAACTGTCTCTTTTCGTTCCTTTCTTTTTTCTATAGCCAAAGTCAGCCAATTGGGGCTGTAGTCTATTTCCTTTGGGTTGAGGGTGTTTTCTGGTATCGTCCCTTCGTGGTTCACTAGAAAAAATGGTACTGGAAAGGGGTCCCAATACAGACCCAAAGAGAGGGTTCATCCACGACAGCGCCACGGGCCCGAGGGACGAGGACCTGCCTCTCTGGCCCACCCGGGCCTCGCGCCCGGAGGGCGGAGCCACCTGGTTTTTTTTAAAGCAGTAAGCTCTCTTTGCTTTGGTAGTAAATTATGAAAGCTGGAAATTTTGTTGTAAAAGGGAAAACATCCTCTAGAGTATATTGCAGTGAATTGTTTTGGCATATGTTTTAATCACTACGACATCCTACATACGGAGAGTTTTAATACATTAAATATTACATTACATTCTGTATAATATGTTCACTCTATAGTTGTTAAGATGTTTGGATTGAGCCCAACAAACCTTTGAAATCTCTGATCTGTAATCCAAGCAAATTCAAACTGTATCGAGCAGATACCATGTGTTTTCTAGGCACTTAAATAGGCAGATTTATATTTCTTCTTCTCAAAAAGCTTGCAAAGTAGATGTTAGACCCAACATTACAAAGAAAGTTATCAGATTTTGGATATGTTCAATCATTGGCTCTGTCATATAGTTAATAAATCACAGATCCTGTTCTGATATGACTGTAGACAGACATGGGTTAAATAGTTTACACTTTTTATTTTCATGCTTACCAAAATTGCTTATCTTGCCAGAAGACCTGAGAAATTGTAGATATGACCAGAGAAGGAGCTGTTTACAGGTGCTTCTCAATCACAATGATTATCTTGATCAGTGTCTGTATTTAGAAACCAAGAAGCTTAGGAAAGATATGTGTTGTGGACATTACTCTTTTTCTAGGGTTTCTAAAGAGGATATAATTTTGTGGTCTTTTCTTAAAGACATAAATCTGAAACTCACACATCCATCAAAGTAAATTGGGAGGCTTGAATCAGTTTTTATCCTAAAGCTGCTCCAGTAAGAAATTACTATAAACCATTTTAATGCACAGATATTGTAAAGTTCAAATGATAGTCGCGAGAAGAGCAGTATGAAATTAGTATAGCTCAGGTTCTTCTTTCTTTAATATATTAGGATAATGAAGTTAGTGTCTATGTTTCAGGAAAATGGATGATGACATCTACTATTGATCTCTGGATAGGTTGAGAACAATATTATAATAATCCATACCAGTCAGCTTGACCTTTTACTGATTTGGCCTTTACTTGGAGTGGGAGGGAAAAAAGAGAATAAAATAAAGGTTTCTATATGAATCAAGGATAACATAAGAATTGTCACATCCCTGGACTTTATTATTATTTATCATCAAAGCACAGTGATCCATCAAGCCATTAATCTCATTAAAGTCCTATAAAGTCAAGAAGACAGGCCATGGTGCAGCTTCATAGGATCTGCTTAGCAATAAACTTTTAATGTTTCTTAAGGTCTGTATGAGAAAATGGGCCTGAGAAGTAATAACGGGGGCTGTAAGTATCTGTCACAGCTCAAATATCACCTCCATAAAGGTTTCTGGGATCTTCCCACTTAAAATCAATTTTTTCTTCCTACATACTGTACCTCTATTATAGGTCATGGTTTATAACTGTAGAATGTTATGGTTCTGGGAAGACCCTTAAGAATTAAGTGGTGACTCACACCACAAAGCTTGTGAGAGGAACAGAGAGCTTTTTAGAGAATCTGTCTCCTTCACTAGATTATAGCTCCTGGACATTAAACCAAGTCCTCCCAACTATCTCTTTTACCCTACACTTCACATCTCAGAATACTAGCGAATAAGATTGTCCAGGCAATAAAAGCTGATCAGGAAAAAAAAACCAGAATAATAACATAGTTCTGTAATAAACATGGAGGTGGAAGTATCCCTTTAACATGCTGATTCCTTTCCTTTGGATAAATACCAAGTAGCGAGATTGCTCTGTCAAATATTGTTTTCCATAGTGGCTGTACTAATTTACATTTCCTCCAACAGTGTATTAGAGCTCCTCCCTCTCATCTGCATCCTTGCCAGTATATGCTTGTTTTGTCTTTTTTGTAATAGCCATCTAACATGTATGGAGGAATATCTCATTGTAGTTTTAATTTATATTTTCCTGATAATTAGTGATGTTAAACATCTTTCATACACCTGCTGGCCATTTGTATATCTTCTTTTGAGAAAGGTTTATTCTTGTCCTTTGCTAACTTTTTAGTAAGATTTTTATTTTTACTGTTGAATTGTTTGCATTCCTTATATATTCTGGATATTAGTCTCTTGTCAGATGAATACTTTGCAAATATTTCACCCAATTCAATAGGTTGTCTCTTCACTCTGTTGATTGTTTCCTTTGCTGTGCAGAAGCTTCTTTTAGTTTGATACATTCCCATTTGTCTATTTTTGGTTTTGTTGCCTGTGCGTTTTAGGTCTCATCCATAGAATCTTTGCCTAGACCAATGTCCTGAAGTGTTTCCCCTAACTGTCCATCGATGGATGAATGTATAAAAGAAATGGGCTAAATATTATACCTAATAGAATAATATAGAATACTAGTTGGCCATAAAAAAGGAATGAAACCATGTTATTTGCAGCAACATGGACAAAACTGAGATTATTACGTTAAGTGAAATAAGCCAGCACAGCAAAACAAATATCATGTGTTTTCACTCATATGTGAGAGCTAAAAGAGATGATCTCATGGAGACTAGAGAGTAAAATGATAGATACCAAAGGCTGGGAAAGGTGTGCAGGTAGGGGCAGGATAAAGAGACTTTGGTTAATGGGTACACATAGTTAGATAGAAGGAATAAGTTCTAATGTTCAATCGCAGAATAGGGTGACTATAGGTAACAACAATGTATTGTATATTTCAAAATATCAAGATGAGAGAACCTGAAGTGTTCTCAGTACATAGAAATGAAAACACTCGAGATGATGGACACCCCCAATACTGTGACTTGATCTTTACACAGTCTATGCATGTCATAAAATATCACATGTACCCCATAAATATGCACAAATGTTTATATCAATAAAAAAGGGAGAATCACACACCTGCGAGCAGCATTTCCTGCCTCTGAAATGGGTATGAATGCTATTGAAAGTGGAGTCAGGGGTCTACTGACCTAGAGATGAGGCAGGAATTTAAACAGACACCAGACAACTGAGAGGGGAGTGTTCGTTTTGCATCAAAGCAGCAGTAAATATTCAGTGCAAAGTCAGGATTTTAAAAGATGTTTAAACTAGCTCTATTTCCATATTCATGAAGAGTGCATGAAGAGTAGAGATGGTTGCCTAGTATGTGGATTTCTAAACTGCACATCTGCGTGATTACTGCCATTTTTTAAATCTCGAAAATGTCATATATATATGTGTGTGTAGAGCAGATATACAGTATGAACAAAGCAGTGTTGCCCGGTGTTGAAAAGCGGAGGGGCTAGTGCCCGAATGCCAGATTTCAAATCCTGGCTCTACCAATTACTCACCATGTGATTTCTGGTTATCACTTACATCTCTAAGCCACATTTGTAAAATGGGGAAAATAATAGTATCAACTAGAGAAGTAAAAATTAGAGCAAACATTTCTGTGGAAAAATTGTTATGTCGTGCATTGGTCAAGACTTAGATATAGCACCAAAAGAAAGATCCATAAAAGAATTAAAAGAAGACAAATTGGACTTCATTAAGATTTAAAATTTTTGCACTTCAAAAGACACTATTTAGGAAATGAAGACAAGTGAGAGACAGGGAGAAAACATTTGCAACGCCATGAAAACAAAAGACACTATCAGAAGTTGTTGTCTCCTTTCTATTCCTTATACTTTGCCTGCCCCATTGACTTATTGCACTGGTGAGAATATACAGGTTAATGATCAATAGAAATGGTGGTATAGGCACCTTAGTGTTGTTTGTACTATTAAAAATATTCTTAATAGGTTGTTACAGATACTTCTTAATGTTTCTCTTGGTTGTTTTTAGTACATATCTTTCATAAGATTAAGAAATTGCCCTTCTATTTCTAGTTTGATGAGAGGTTTTATTGCAAATAGATGTTGAATTTGTTCAATTTATTTACTGCCTATATTAAGAGGATATTCTCTTTTATCTATAAATGTAGTATATTAAGTGAATAGATTTTCAAAATTATACCGACTTTTATTTCTGGGATAAACCTAATTTATGTATGATGAATTGTCTTTTTATGTGTTGGTGGAATGAGCTTTTTTACCATTTTATTCAGTATTTTCATAACTAAGCTTTCAAATGGGTTTATCATGTAATTTTCTATTATTGCATTCTTCTTGTCATGCATGTGAATTTCAGTTATGTTCAGCTATGATAGTGTATGGTTTCATAAAGTAATTTGATGGATATTTTATTATACATATATAATGTGTACATTTTGAATATGTATGTGTGTATGTATATATAACTTTATATATATAAACTTTGTATGTATGTATGTGTGTATATATATACACACACATATGGCAGTAAGAGAAAACTTTGTGTGTGTGTGTGTATATATATAAACTTTGTATGTATGTGTGTGTATACACACATACATACACACACACATACATACATATAAAGTTTATATACATATAAATATAAAGTTTATATACACACACACAAAGTTTTCTAAGTATTATATTTATAAATATAAATATATATACATATAAAGTTTATATATATATACACATACACACACACACACACACACATATACAAAGTTTTCTCTTACTGCCATAACAAATCATCACAAACTTAGCATTTTATAACAGCACAAACACATTATTTTTAAGTCCTGTGGGTTGGAAGTCCCATGTGCCTCACCAGGCTAACATCAAGTTGTCAGCAGGGCTGAGTTCGTCTCTGGAGACTCTAGGGGAGAATCAATTTCCTGGAACACTCAGATTGTCTGCAAAATTTAGTTCTTTGCAGTTTTAGGACTAAGCTTCCATGTTCATGCCCCCTTCCTTCATCTTCTAATCCAGCAGTGGTGGATCAGTCTCCCCTTTATAATTCAAACTTCTCCCACCTCTTGTTCCATCAGCAAGTCTCTCTGACATACTCTTCTGCCCTCCTCTTCCACTTTTAAGGACCCAAATGATTATATTGGGTCCATTCTGGATAACCTGAAGTAATCTCCCTATTTTTATTTCATCTAAGATCCTTTTTAGCAATATATGGTAACATATTCACAGGCTTCAGGGATTAGGGTATAAAGATATTTGGTGGTCACATACTCCCTACTATCACAGTATACTTTTAGAATATAACCTATATGTATTAAATATATCATACATATTTATACATTCTTGTAATTATGTGTTTTTATTAAATTAGTGTTTTATTTATCCTATTTATTTTACATTTGTGTTTGCAATATTTTCAGATTCCTAATGTTGTTTATTTGTATCCTATTGCCTTTTCTTTTTGCTTGATCAGTCATGACTATTTATCTTAGTCTATTTATCTTGACAAGAAAGAGCATTTGTATCTGTGGTTCCTTTTGTTGTTTGATTCTTTTATTTTATTTGCTCTCATTTCACTCCCTTCCCTCATTGTTAGCATTTTTTTCTTTCTAAATAATTTCCTTATGTTTGAGGCTTAGCTTATTACATTTTACCATTTTCTAGTATAGCACTTAAAGATATAATTTTGCTGATAAATAAACATTTTAACTACCCACTGTTAAGTATTTTCACTGATGTCCAGTTCTAGATTTTTCTGATTTTTATTATAATTTCTCCTGTAATTTTTGAGTTATTTAGAAGTGTTTTTCTTAGTTTCAAAATGTATGTAAATTTCTCAAATATAGAGAGAAAAGAGATGTGATCTACATAATGCTAATCCTTTGAAATTAGTTGAGACTTGCTTAATAATCCAAAACATTAGCAACTTTATATAAATGGACCATTTATAATTGATTAAAATGTTCACTATGCAGTTGTGAGGTTCAGTTATATATGTATTTATGATTATGTTTCTTACCATAATATTTAAATATTCTATACCATTACTGATATTCACCTGCTTTATCTATTAGTGAAGGAGGTCTATTAAACTCTCCCTCTGTGATTATTAATGTGTCTATTTCTAAGAGTTCTGTCAAATTTTGCCATACATTTCTAGGATGTGTTATTAAATGCATGCTACCGTTATAAGTATTAATTGTATTCATATATTTTAATATTTGTTATTATTACATGTTCCAAGTACACTAAAATGCATCATTATGAAATATCTAGCAATTTTTTCCCTTACACTCTATTTTATCCAGTATTAAAGAGCAATAACAGCTTTGTATTAATTGGGATATTTTTGGTGAAAAATTTTCATATCCCTTTTGTTTCAACCTTTGATACGATTATATTTCAGGTGTAGGTCTTGTAAACTATATAAAGATGAACTATTATTAAATAGTTTATAACAAGCTTTATCTTTTAATTTCATCAAGTTCATTTACATATATTGTAATTCATGATTTATTTGAGTTTATTTCAACTATCTTCTTTTGTGCTTTCTATTTGCCCTGCAAGTGTTTTGGTTGTCTATCTTTTAGAATATCTTTCTACCATTTGAATTTATAATTTTATTTTTTGTAAAATTCTAATATACTAATTTTCAATTTATACTTTTTACTTCCATTTCTCTGGTGATTACAAGTCTAACATCAATCAATGTCATCATCCTACTCCAGCCAGGACCAATTTGGAACCAATTGTCCCTATTCATCCCCTCTTGGATCATATGCTATATTTCATATATATTTAAAATATGTCATTTAATTATTAACTCCATGAGGTTTTTTCTTCTTACAGTTGTTGTTTTTTTCTTTTAATTACAATATGGTTTAAATTTGTTCACACTTGGTTTGTGATTGATCTTTTTCCTCAGGGTGCTCTAAAAGTTGTCACCTTTCCTACATTTCAGGGTGATATGTTTTGGTGTGTATGGCATTTTATTCATTCTAATTTGAATTATTTTGGCACTGTCAGTCGTAGCTAGGGAATTTCACCAGTTCTGGAATATTCTCAGACATCATCTTTTCAAGTGCTTCTCTGCCTCGTTCTCTATCTTTTCCCTTTCTGTTACTCCACTGAGATGGATGTTTGACTTCTTTGCTTTTTGGCTCTTGAACTTTCTCTTACATTAGATCTAAATTTGATGTTATTAATTTTTTTCTTCAGTGAAGTCTAATTTAAATTAAAATCCACTTTAAAATTCCCACTGCTGAGTTTGCCTTTTTTAGAAGTTTTGTTTGGTACTTTAAAATAATCTCACTGATAATTTTTTATAGTTCATTTGACACTCTTGTTTTCAAGATTGCATTTTGTTTCCTTAAAATACATTAAGCATAGATATTTCATATTGTTCATTTTATACACCAACATATTTAGCGTTTGTGTGTTTGTCTGTATTGTTTTTTATTCCTATTACTGCTTCCAAATGCGCCCAGTTTCTTTGTGTTTTTAGTAATTTTTAAATTTCAAATGCTCCAGTTGTCAACATCCGTATTTGTAGAAAATTCTTAAGACCTGAAAAAGAAGTGAGTTCCTTCATATAATATCTGCAATATCTTCTGCCAGGTTATGAGTAGCAGTATAATTCTGACAAACGTTTAAACTAAAATAATGCTCTCGAAGAATGTCAAGCTACAAAGCTCTTGAGGGCTAGCTTGTGAATTTCATGAGGAATTTCATCCCACTAGCATCAGCTAGTATTTTTTTTTTTTTTTTTTTTTGAGACAGCAGATTGCTTTGTTGTCCAGGCTGGAGTGCAATGGTGCCATCATGGATACTGCAACCTCTAGCTCTTGGGCTCAGTCAATCCTTCCACCTCAGCCTCCTGCATAGCTAGGACTATAGTTGCCAGCCACTATGCCCAGCTTTTTTTTTTTTTTTTTAACTTTTTGTAGAGACAGAGGTCTCACTGTTTTACTCGGCCTTCCAAAGTACTGGGATCATAAGCATGAGCCAACAGATCCAGCCTAAATTCTAAAGTTAATTCTAAAGTTAGATACAAGGAATTTTCCGTGAAGCTCTTAGGACATATGGACAGGTTTATTTCAGCTTCAGTTTGACACTGAGCTAAGAGGGATTAGGAAGATTTGGGGCATTCTAGGATCCCAGCTGGAAAAGAAGAGGTGACCCTGTTAGATTCTCCTACCTGGGTAATTGCTAAACTTTGTCTACTATCCTCTGGGTCTCAAAAGGCTGGAAAAACTTTGAGATCCAGGCTTGATTTAGTTAAGTGCCACAAAGATAAAAGGTGCTTCACTGCGCTGTTTACATCTTTGGTTTCTATTTCCACTTAGCTTCTTTTATTTCTTTTCTTTCTTTCTTTCTTTCTTTTTTTCTGATGCGGAGTTTCGCTGTTGTGGCCCAGGCTGGAGTGCAATGGCGCAATATCGGCTCACCGCAATCTCCGCCTCCCAGGTTCAAGTGATTCTCCTGCCTCAGCCTCCTGAGTAGCTGGGATTACAGGTGCCCGCCACCACGCCTGGCTAATTTTTGTATTTGTAATAGAGAAGGGGTTTCACCATGTTTGTCGGGCTGGTCTCGAACCCCTGACCTCGTGATCTACCTGCCTCGGGCTCCCACAGTGCTGGGATTACGGGCGTGAGCCACGGCGCCCGTCCTCCACTTAGTTTTTAGGCTAAATATTTCTTACTTTCTTGCCAGCCTAATCATACATATAAGTTTCTTTTAACTTTTAATACAAAATGTATAATTATTTTCAGTGGAAGTCTGATCTCCTTTTCTAGCCTGCATTATTGCCAGGCACTGGCATTAGAGTTTAAGCTTCATGATGACAGGAATTATGCCTGTTTTTCCTCACTAGTGTAGCTCTGTTTTTTAATCAGAAGCCTAGAACATAAGATGTACCCAACAAGTATTTGTCAAATGATTGAAGGAATTCATTGATGAAAAGGAAATGCTCCTTTAATTCAATAATTTCAATCTAAATACTTTAATTGGTGTACATGGCATCATGTAAGAAACATTTTGTTGTCTTATCCTAGTACACATTGTTAAGAAAGGTTGGGGCTGAGCGCTGAGACTTATGGCCTGTGACGTCAGCACTTTGAGAGGTCGAGGCAGGAGGATCACTCAAGGCCAGGAGTTTGAGACCAGCTTGGGCAAGTGTGAGACCCGTCTCTACAAAAAAAAAATAAAAGTTAAAAAAATTAAAAAATCCAGACATGGTGATGCACACCTGTAGTCCCAGCTACTTGGGAGGTTGAGGTGGGAGGATCACTTCAACCCAAAAGATTGAGGCTGCAGTGAACCATAATTACACCACCGAATTGCAGCCTGAAAACAGAGTGAGATTCTGTCTCATATATATATATATATATATATATATATATATATATATATATATATATATTTTTTTTTTTAAACAAAAGGACAAAAGGAAGGTTGGTGATGAGATAGGGTCCTTATTGTTTCTGCTCTCCTTCCTGCCATAGATTGCCCAGTGAGGTTAACTTTGGGCAAATTGGAAAACTGGCAAATATCTTTGAAACATTTTCAAGCTCTCCCATCTGGGTCTCTGCCAGTTATTAAGTTTTTGAGATCTAGACATACCTTTTTATGTTATATTCATCATGCTCAGCAAACTGTATCTCTGCCAAAAGATGCCTGCAAGGTTATGAGATGAAAAAAAGGAATGCTTTTTCTCCAATTTGCTTCCGTCCTGGGGCGTCTTCATCTCAGCCATGCCTTCTCACCCAGCACTTCCTTTTCTTAGCAGCATTAAACCCAGCAGGCACTTTTCCAAGGCTTGCTGAATCAGCCTCATTGCACCCTCTGAGACACCAGTATTGAGGCTGAGGCTCTTCTCCTGACAGGTCTCAACTCCATGGAGAACCTCTTTGGGGCTCAGAAATGCCACCACCAATCAAGCAACACCTCTTCCAGAGATCTGAGTTTCAGGTCTATGGGGCCACTCCTCTAAGCTTCTCAGTTTTAAATAATCCAGCTTTCCTTTGTTTCCCAGCACCGGAGATGGGAGCTGCTCTCTGCAGATGCAACCTCTATAATAGCTTCATGTTTGCTTCTTGTCCTATTGCATGGCTAACATCCTACACGAAACTAACACTATCTTGTTTAAATTATCTCTGCTAAAAATAACTGTTGTGATTTTTGTTTTTTGCCTGATATAGAATTTTTCTGTCACTTCCTTATTTCTTCCACTTGTTACAGTCCTCTTAATTTTAAGGATACTTTTCTATCAAAACATATACAACCTTTCAGCCACATTATGGTTCAAATGCCTAAGAAAAAGAATTGAAAACTCTTATTTTTATCTTGATGTAAAAAAACATCTAAGGAAATTACACTCATCAGATGGATAGAGGTAAAGGAAGTCTACACTTAAATGCTTCATGCCATAAGATGCAAATGTATAAATTAAAATTATGTCTCCTCTGGATCCAATGAAACAAGCATTTGAGTCCAGAGCCTACTTTTGTAGCCTCACATGTCTTATCTAAAGTCATGCTAGCGACTACCTCCCAAAGTGGCTGTGGAGATTACTGCTGATATAGAAAGATTGTACTAATACTTCTAGCAGGTGCAAAATTACTAAACACTTTCCTAGATCCTTTAATAGAGTTTAGTGTAAAATAAGCCACTCAATTAAATACACATACATGCGCGTATATATATTCAATAATATTTATGTATTCAAATAGTAACAAATATACACATGACAAAAAATGCATGTAATTTGTGTATTAAAAAGTAACTGTCTTCCATAATTACAAGCAACCTATTTTAAGGTTTTTGAATCCTTTCAGAAAATATAGATACATATTAATTTCTATACTTAATTTTTACACTCATGTTCTCCCTATATACCATATATAAGGTTTACAAGATAATGCATGCTACACGCAACTTTAAGTAGCTTGTTTTTCCATTGAGGAATGTATGTTGTAGGTCTTCTCATACTAACAACTATTAATACATTTTTTAAAATATTTGGAGAGTGTTGTATCACAAATATATCACAGTTCAATTAAGGTATGTGTCAATGATAGCTTTATAAACAGTTTCCAATTGTTCGCTGTTACAGTAAACATGGTATAATACATCTTTCTTTACACATGCAAGTGTTTAAGTTGCCTACACACATAAAAGTAGAATTGCAGAGTGGAATAGTGTGTGCATTTTAAATTTTGGTAAGTATGGTAAGTATATAATCTACTGGATATATTGATTGTTGAAACATTTTTGAAAGACTTCCTACACCTAACTAAGATAAAGCTGCATGATGTTTAATTGCTTGATCCTTGATAATCTAGTTGTTTTAAAAGTTCTCCACTGTTACGTTTTTATTTATTTAATTATAAAGTGAGACTGAGCATACCTTTGAAATGTTTTTAAGTGCGTTTCTGTATCAGGAGATAGTCTGTTCACATCCTTTGCCTACTTTGCTACGAAATTTGCTTTCATTATATTGATTGGTAACGGTTTCTTATAATGAAATTTTCTTGCTATAACTGTTGGAAATTTTTGTCCTGGTTCATTATTTTTAAAAACAATGTGCTATGTTTTCCTGTACAAAATTAAATAATTTTTGTCTATACAAGTGTAATTATCATTTCCTCTAGAGTTGATTGGTTTTGATATTGGTTAATTTCTTCTACAAGATTGTACATGCAACATATCATTTTTTTCTTTGAGAACTTTGGCAGCTTTATTTTTAATGATCAGAATATTGATTTATCTGGAAGTTATTTTGATCAGGGCCTACTCATAGATGTACAACCTGTGCAGTCAAATAGAGCCCCACACTAAAAAAGACCCATGCTTGTTTTAACACTGCTATTTCTGTCTTTCCATCTTGAAATTCTTAATAATTTTTGAAAAAGAAGCCCCATGATTCATTTTTCACTTGGCTTCACAAATTATGTAGCCACATCTACTTATATCATTAATTTTTAACAATCCACCTTATCCCACTGCTTTGAAATACTGACATCATTTTTTAAGATTCCTATATGCATCTAGTTTTGTTTACGAAATATCTAGTCCATTTCATTAAACTATTTATATATTCAAAAACTAGTCCAAATTTTTAAAAATACTGTCCATTAGTATCTCTAGTATCTTATAGATTATATTCTTGCCTGCTCCTCTCATCTGCCAGGAATTTCTCAGTAATTGTTTCATGCTTATTATAGTAGTAGCACTTTATTAATATCACTTATTAATGTCATTGCCTCTTAAAATCAACCTGACCAACTTAAAAAAAAGACAATTTTAAATAATAGCATTTAATCTAAAAATAATTATAGAATAAATGATTTTCATTATTATCATTTACAGCATGTAAATAATTTTGTAATATTCAAACAGAGGCATATTTTATATTTACTCATTTTATTTTATGCACATCGATAGACTTTGTTTCGTTTATTTCTAAGTACCTTACATTTATCTTTATTGCACATCAAGTGTTTCCTTAAATATAATTTAAGTTGTTGTGTGTATATAAAACTTGTTGGGTTTTGTATACTGATTTTAATCAGTGTATTTGTTTAATTTATCCTATATGACAAGTAGGTTTTCTTAGCTTTTATCATTCAGCTTTTCTATCATATGCAAACAATGATGATTTGGCTTTTTCCTTATATTTCACTTCATTACTGTTACTTGTAAAATCTCACTGATAATAACTTTTAGAACTATGATGAATCAAATTAGCATTAGTGACTGATATGGATAGGCTGTGTGTCCCCATCCAAATCTGATCTTGAATTATAATCCCCAGGTGTTGATCCAATCTCCTGGTGGGAGGTGATTGGATCATGGGGGCAGTTTCCCCCATGCTTTTCTCTTGATAGTAAGTGAGTTCTCAGGAGATCTGATGGTTTTATAAGGGGCTCTTTTCCCCTTTGCTTTCTACAAACACTCTCTCACCTGCTACAATGTGAGATGTGACTGCTTCCCCTTCTGTCATGATTGTAAGTTTCCTGAGGCTTCCCCACCCATGCAGAACTGTGAGTCAATTAAACCTCTTTTCTTTGTGAATTACCCAGTCTCAGGCTGTTCTTTATAGCAGTGTGAGAAGGGACTAATACAGTGGGTATCCTGAAATTGTTTTTTATGTAAAATGATATTTCTTAAGTGTTGCTCCTTTAAATATAAGGTTGAGAAATATATTAAGAAAGTCACATTTGTATTAAGAATTTTTATATTGCAAAGAAATCATAGTTTTCCTCCTATCTTTGGACACATTGATAATCAAATTTTTACTAGATTCTCAAATAGACTGAATCATTCTTGCACTCCTGGGAGAAATTCAGTCTCAGTGATTTACGTCTTTAATGGTCTGCAGATTCCTTCTTTGTTATCTTTTTCAGGATTTTTATGGAAGTAGTATATTTGCTACATAAAAGGAGCCTAGTGGTTAAATGTTCCTTGAAGTTTTGATAGAATTCACTTGTGAAACTAAATAGCCCTGGTTGGTTGGCCGTTCTTTGACATCTTCTAAATTTCTCATGTGGTCATTGATCATGTTAGACTTCCCACCCAACAGGCAGTTACTTTTGTTAGGCTGTATTTTTCTAGAAAAGTTTTCATCTCTCCAGCGTCTTAAATATATTTCAAAAAAAATCAACATATTTAGTTTCTATATTTGAATTTCCTCTGAATCTGTAATTATTTGTCCATTCTAAGTTACAACTTTATAAAATCATACTCCCCTTATGTTTTTTATTATTATGGCTAAAACCTTCTCTTAAGAATTACTGTTCTCCAGAGAAGCAGAAATTGCATTTGCTTTTTTAGTAGTGATGAAAAACATCCAGTTTTTAATCAATTTGTCTTTTTTTCTAACATTATTTAGTATTTTTTCTTTATTTGATGGACATCTTATAGTTTTTCCAATTGTTTGAAGTGAATATCTAATTCTTTTAAAATCTCTATTTTAAGTATTCAAGAATTTATGATTATAAAGTATTCTAACTTTTTACATGACTAATTTCTTTAAAATGTTTTGAACATTGGCTTTGAATTAAAATTTTGCTGATACTTGATCAATTTTCCTTTTAACAGTCATTTTGACACTGCTTATATTTTTATCATTTATTTTTTGTTACAAAATTGGTATGTTTATATTATTTGTATTTTTGGACTTTATTGTTATTTTCTTGTTTTACTTAATACATGATTAAATTTTTTAGTACATCTTATGGACACTTTTAAAAGGTGTAGTTTTTAATTATAAAATATACAACTATAAAGATTATATACATACATAATATATGGATTAGAGCTTATATAAACTTATATATATCTTATGAGTTCATATTGGTATCATTTATTTATTACTTGTGTTTTCTGTATTATCACATAATTTTGGACTTTTTCCTCTGTCTTGAACTGAGAAAAGTAATTTAGCCTCAGAAGTTCACATTATTTTTTCTCATTTTCTGTTTTATTTCATTCAGTTTTGTTGTGATTTCAATTATATTTGTAAACTGTTTGCTATACGATGAGCTTCAACCCTGATGTTCTATGGTAGATCATACATTGTTATTGTATCTGTCATTTATATTTTTACAAAAAACTTCCTTTGTTTTATTTTATTATTGTATTATTATTTTATTTTACTCATTGTTATTAAATTTACAAGTTTTCGTCATCTGGTATGTCTCTGTTTCCTTTTACTTTTAATCATTTCTGAAAACAATATTTTGGGTACTTCTTACCATAAAAGTCAATTTTGCTCTTATATACTTTGAATACTTTGTTTTAATTTTCATAGACTAATTTTCATGGTTTACACATACTTGGGTTTTATCATTGTATTTTACTCTATTCCTCCTATTATTAGTGCTTTCTTTGTATTTTCATCTTCTCAATGTGATTTATACTTTTTCTGCTGTGTTTCTCTTATGAAATATTAGAATATCAACAGTTGGAATTTTTGTTTTTTATTATATTTATACATTACATATAATGTTTACTTACCTTTTTTGGTAATATGTGTTACTTCCCTACTTTAAAACTGAAAAAAGTCATTCAGCTATGTTGTCTTCCTTCCCACTATTTGATTTTGGGTAGTCATATTATCATTCAAGAGTTCTTTCAAGGCATCGCTCATCTTTTATCACATGCTGTAGTCCTCTAAGGCAAATATCCTTTGGGGAGTACTGGGTGGGTGGGAGGAAGGGAGGCTAAGTAGAGCATGTGTTGGCTAAGCACTTCAGCTGCCTGTCGGGATTTTAAGCAGCATTCTCTGAACATTTTCCTATTTTGTGTCTGCCCAAGGCTATGCCTCCATTCAGGTCCCAGGAAGTCTCCTGGCTCACCCTCAAGCTCCATATTTTGCTAGTTAGGGGTGATTACACAGTAACTTCAGGTGGTGAGGATCGCTGGCTGCCTGATTTGATGCTGCTCAGTGTTTTCTCCTTTATTTACTCTGTCAAACTAAGAGCAAAAATGGTGCATTGAGAATTCATGTCTCCGTGACCCTTCCTCCTACAGCGAACCAAGCATTCCCCTGTAGACCTGGACTTTTGCATCCTAAGTAATGCATTGCTTACTGGACTCTGTACACTAGGCATCCTTTTTTGGAAGATATTCGCACCCAAGACCCCTGCAGATAAATGAGTCTGATATATGCTTCCTTTCTTAGACATCAAGGATTGCAATTGAAACTGCATTCTAATTGAATTGAAGACGAAGTTCTTTTTCATTCTTCTCATTTTCTTTCAGTTTCAAAGGAATAGAATAATAGGAGAACTAATTATATTATGTTTAAATTAAAATCGTCAATATGAATTTGAAATATTTTATCAATATTAAATACGGGGAGTGTCATAGTGAAAATAATTGATATCTTTTATTTTTATTTGAAAAAAATAAAAATTCCATAAACAAGCATTACCGCTTGACAGGTGACAAAGCACATTCCAATCAGTAGCTGAGCTTTGTGTTTGGCACCAACCAACCTTATTCCACACCCTGAGATTCTGATGTCTCTACACTCCATCAACAAGGCTCCTTCACCCTCTGGCTTTGTTCCTCCTCCTGCCAGTTGAAAGCGTAGGCAGAAAATGAGTAGGCAGTGACATGCTGGGAAGCTAGAGGTTGGGTGTCTACTTCCTTAGCTCACTTTCTGTCGGGTCACAGTGGCCTTGGCAGTGTTCCTGAACAGTTTCTGATGGGCACTGGTGCCTGACACTACAGCTGACATTGGTGTTGGTAACTGCTCTCTCCCTATCTCTTTAAAGCTTTAAGTAGTAATAGTATCTTCCTATTGCTTGTCCCTCTGGCTTCTCCATCTCTCCTTCAGTGTCTCTTAACCCAGCAAGCACTTATATATAGTCACTTAATTTAACTTTCTATATTGTCTTTCATCCCAATGTGTAACATACATGCAGTAAATTGTGTATAATGAATATGTTTTAGGCGTATACCATCATTGGTCTTACAGTTATATATTTGTGTAACTACACCCGAGGTGAAGATGCATCTAGCATCTCATAAAGTTACCACATGCTATTCTTGGTTTACCATCATCACTCCCCACCTTGTGTCCTGTGGGCAGCCTGGCCAATAAAGTGGAAAGACTGAATAAATGATGTGAGACAATAGATATCAAAAAGAAAGATGTCCCCTTTATCAAACCATACACAAAAATCAATTACAGGTGAATTAAGGAAATATAGGTGGTAGCCAATAATAAGACTGTCAGAATATAATCGAAGATGATATCTTCATAAATTTCTGCAAGAAGGAATCTCTTAAGCAAAACAAAAAGCATACTAACCATACAAAGAAATTACAGATACATGATACACTTGACTAAATACATATCAAAGACCTCTATTCACTAAATATACACGTTAGGGTGTGAAAAGCACCGTAAAAATAAGACATTTTAAAATGTGTTATTGATAAGAAATAATATCTATAATATAAAAGGAATTTGTATATATTAGAAATAGGCAAAGAAAAATGGGAAAGTAATTGAATATGCACTTCACTCCAAAAAAACCCAAAAGCCATTAAAATTTGCATCACAGCCCAACTGCTGCTTCTGTCTAAAAATAATATGCAATAATACTAAAGCAAAAGGAAATTTTTTAAGTGGAGCCATATCTATTAGATGAAATGAAGAGCCAAAGTTTTGCATATATAACTCATATATTTTACTATGTCAATTATGAAACTAGTGCACATACACAAAAAAAGGAAAACTACAATATAAGAGCAAATAGCAAAAGGATATGAAAATCTATTAATAAAATATATAAAAATAATTTAAAAATATACCTCAGTGTTATCAAAGAAATGTAAATAGAAAATACATTATTCAATAATGAGTCAGAAAGATACAACAAGAATGTACAAAATATTATAAAATAAACCAAAATAAAACATTAAAAAATAACAAACAAAAAATTATTTTTAAAAGGCAAAACAACAGTTAGAAAAAAAAATACCCAGTCTAAAAAGCCAGTCTCATAAACTGCTAGTAAGCACATAAATTTATCTGTACAACCACTCTGAAAGACAATTTTATTTCTTAATCTAAATTATTAAATAGAAAGATTGATCAATGATAGATGAGATAGGTGATAGAGCAATATTTGCAACTCTCCTAATTTATTATAGACAAATTGTTATGGTATGGATATTCATATATTGAGTTAAAAGTATCCATGTTTGCAGTGCTTGTTTTAAATAGTGAAGAAATGAACATATTTTACAACAGGAAATAGGAATTCTGTTAGAATCAGGCCATAAAATGTTATGCAACTATTAATAATAATGTTATAGAAGCATATGTCTTTGTATGCAAATGTTAATATATTTGTGTGTATTCATTGATTTAATTTAATGTATGTGCATGTGCATATGTATGTTTAAAAACATAAAACAAAGTTTCCACAGAAGATGTATATACCATTGTGAAGTTTGTTCTCTCTTTTTGTGTGTTTTGCTTGTATTTTGAGATGAACTTTCATAATAAGAAAAATGCAACAAAATATATAATGGGGTAGAAAACCAGAACGTAGCAAAAAACATTAGCCAAAGTTTATGAAAGAACCACAAATAATTATGTAAAATAATTTTAATCCCCACTTATAAGGAAAGTATTATTAAAGACAATTACATTTTTGACTGGCATAATAGAAAACAATTTTGTAAAAATAATAGTATTCTTTGAAAATATATAATCATTTGCTGGGCCAATATTGCAAAATGGGCACTACACTGCAATTGGATGCATGAATTTTATGAATTACAATTTGAAATGTAAATTAAAAGCAATCAATAAAACAAACTATTTAATACAGCAATTCCAACCTCACTTGTAGATATTTAATGTAAAGAATTCACCAAAAATACCAATATTTGGATTATATAATAGTAACATTTCTAATATAAGGGAAATAATTAAACATGATATGTTTTTATCAATATTGGCAAATTTTCATTGGTATTATTTTATTTTTAACTTCTAGTTAATGAATTAATTGTTCTTATTAATAAATGGTAAAAAATAACACAATGAAATTCTATTGTGGGGGAAATAGTATGTTTTGTATCTCTTGCTGTTTGAATTATTTTCTTTATAAAAGATAACCCCCTGGGGTTAATGAACCTGTTCTCATGCACATAATTTTAAGTGTAATTTAATTACTTCAGGAAACCAAAGTAGCATTCTCAATATATAAGTAACAGTATAAATGATCAGTTTTACAGTTTTTTGGTGGTGTAGAAATTGTAGAGAAAAGCAGTTGCAGTATACCACAACATGACTGGCAATGTCAGTCTGAGCGCACCTGAGAATCTTGGTATTAAATCTGCAAGAAGATTTGAAAAAAAAAAAAAAAGTACGGTTCTCTGCAAGAACTATTTATTAATTTTGATCAAATTATTTCTATCAGTCTAAACTGGCAACTGGAATGTTGTTTTGTGTTCATGCAGTAATTGATTCAGTAGAAGGTAGTCTTCCTCCAGTTCATATTGAACCAATACCCACGGTAGCAGTTAGGAGAAATTATACTATTAAAACTGACATGGCTGTAAAATTGGGCACATTTTACGAATGCTTGCTCATTTATTTGCACCAGTGTATCCGTAATCGTTACTGTATTGTGTCGCTATATTTTTTTCCATAAACTATAGACCAGATTCTTATTACATATTTGTTATTCCTCCTGGTCCTGGGTAATGATGTTAATTTTTTTCACAATTTAAAGTAACTAGATAGTACCCCCAAAATACAGCCCATTAAACAACTGTTGACAGAAACAGATTTTCTTTAGCATTATTTTCATCATGTGCTGTAAGTAACATTCATTTTAAAATTTAGATGGATTTTAGTGGTATTATATTTACTGTAATACTATTCTTAGTTGTCTGGTAATATGACATCCAACCTTAGATAATTTATGCATCAATATTTTATTGTCAATTGATCTATGAAAGCTATGTGATTTAAGAACACAGTGATGTAGTTGAAGGAACACTAGATATAGAGTCAGTAAATGTGAGTTTTAGAATAAGTTGACACAGCTAATCCTCAGCAGATCTAAGGTTCAAACTTATATTCTGTCTCTAAAGCCTATGGTCTTCCTACTGCAAAATAATACCTCTCAATTTAGAAAATATTATCTATTTATATTCATTGTTTAATTTTGTCTGCGAGCAATTAATGTAATAAAGGCTGCCTATATCCAGTCAATAATCTATACCTTTATTAAACTTTTTATTTTGAGATGATTATAAATGCATAGGCAATTTTAAGAAATAATACAGGGACATCCTGAATACCTTTTACTCAGCTTTCCCGAATGGTAACATCTTACAAACCTGTAGCACAACATCACAACCAGGATGCTGTTGCTAATATAGTCAAGATATGGAACATTTCATCACTATAAAGACCCCTTATCTTGCCATTATAGCCACACACAATTCCCTTCTGTCCCTGCCCTGTCCTTAACTGTGGCCAATCTGCTCTGCATTTCTATAATTTTGTCATTTCAAGAATATTATAAATGGAATAATATAATATTTAGCCTTTAACAATGGCTTTTTTTTTTTTACTCAGCCATACTTCTCTGGAAATTCATTCATTTGTGTGTATTGATAATTGACTTTATTGTTGCTAAGTATTCCACACTATGGCTGTACCACAGTTTGTACCACCTTTCACCTGATGAAGGACACCTGTATTATTTCCAGTTTGGGGCTTTTACAAATAAAGCTGCTATAAATATTCGTGTCCAGGTTTTTGAGTGCCATAGTGTTCAATTCTCTGACCCAAAAGTTCACTTTCTGAGTTGTATGGTAGTTTCATATTAGCTTTTAAAAAAATTGCCAAACTGTTTTCCAGGGTGGCTGCAGAAATTTACATTTCCACCAGGAATATATGAATTATCCAGTTCCTCCTCACCTTCACGGGCATTTGGTGTTGTCACTAGTTTTTTTTGTTTTGTTTTGTTTTGTTTTAATTTTAGCTATTTTCACAGATAAGTGGTAATATCTCATTGCGGTTTTAATTTACTTTCCCAATGGCTAATAACATTGAAGATCCTTTTGTGCACTTATTTGCAAACCGTATATTCCTTTCAGTGAAATATCTCTTTATTTATTTTGCCCATTAAATTGTTTGGTCTTTTATTGTTGAGTTATGAGTTCTTTATGTATTCTAGATACTATTCCTTTGTCAGATGTATAGCTTACAGATATGTTCTTCTACTCCCTAACTTACCTTTTCATTTTCAACAGAATCTTCCACAAAACAAAAACTTTTTAATTTTGGTGAAGTAAAATTTATCACTTTTTCCTTTTATAGATTGTTTTTGGTGAGAAGTCCAAGAATTCTTTCTAGCCCTAGATATTGAAAATTTTCTCCTCAAATACTTTTTTTATATTTAACTCTATGATCTATATTGTGTTAACTTTGTATAATATGAGATTTCATTTTTTTGAATATCAAGGTTAGTTTATTTTGCCTATGGATGTCCAGTTGCTGAAACACTGTTATTGAGAAGGTAATTTTCTCTCCACAGAGTTGCTTTCACCACTGCCAAATCAGTTGGGCATATTGTTGGAGTTGATTTGGGGGTTCTCTGTTCTAGTTAATAGTTCTCTGTGTCTATACCTTCCCCACTACCACATAGTCTTGGTTAATGCAGCTATGCAATACATTCTGAAATTTGGTAAGCTAATTTCTCCCACTTTTTTATTTCTTTTCAAAATTGTTTTAGATTACTCTAGAAGTTTTAAAATAATCTTGTGTATACCTAAACAAATTTGCTAAATTTGTTAAAAATTGTGTAAAACCAGTATATCAATTTTAGTACAATTGACATTTTTTCTTTGTTGAGTCTTCCAACCCATTAATATAGCATGTCTCTGCATGTATTTAGATCTTCTTTGATTTCTGTTATCAGTACTGTGTAATTTTCCACATACACATTTCTGCATATGTTTTGTTAGTTTTATACCTAAGTATTAAATTTTTTGAGTAATTGTAAATAAAAACTAAAATTTTTATTTTTAATTTTAGTGTCCATGTGTTCATTGCTAGTATACACAAATACAAATTGATTTTTTTTGTTAATTTTGTATCTGGCTACTCACTTATTAGTTCCAGAATTTCTTCTAGATTCTTTGGAATTTTCTATGTAGACAATCATATCATCTGCAAATAGGACAGCTTTATTTTTTTCCTTTTAATCTGCATACTTCTTATTTCCTTCCATAGTCTTATTTCACTGGCTATCACTTCCAGCATTATGTATAAATTAAGAGTGGTGAGAGCAAACAGTCTCGATTTGTTCTAAATCTTAGGATGTAAACATTGTCTTTCACCATTAAGTGTAATCTTATCTGTTCATTTTTGTTAGTTTTTAAGTTGAAGAAGCTCCCTTTTATTCCTATTTCCTAACATTTTTTACCATGAATGGATGCTGAATTTTGTCAAGTGCTTTTTCTGCATCAGTTAATATGATCATTTGTTTCTTTTTATTTACTTTATTGATATGGTGGCATACATTGAGTTTTAAATATTGATCAGCCTTAAATTCCTGCAATCAACTTCCCTTGGTCATAGTGTAATTTTTTTAGATGTCATGGATTTATATTTGCTGATAGTTTATTTTAAATTTTTTGTCTCTGTTTATGATTTGTTGGTTTCTCACTTTATTTTTAGGTACTATCTTTGTCTGCTTTTGCTATTAAGGTAATACTAGCTTTGTAAAATAAATATGAAGTGTTCCCTCTTCTAATTTTTGGGAGACATTGTATAGAATTGTGTTAATTATTTAAACATTCTGTAGAATTCTGTACTAAAACCATCTGGAGCTGGAGGTTTCTTTTTGGGAAGAGTTTTAAAATCAAAACTTCAATCTCCTTAATAGTTAGAGGGCTACTAAAATTATCAATCTTGTATTGGGTGAATTGTGCTACTTTGTATTTTTCAAGTATTTGTTCCATTTTATCTAACTTGTCGAATTTATGTGCATAGAGTTATTCACAGTATTCTCTTGCCGTTCTTTTGACATCTACAGGGTCTGTAGCAATAACATTTTTTCCATGCCTGATCACAGCCTTGCAAGTCCTGCCTTGGCCTTAACTCGCCTGTGTGAGGGTGGGGGCACAGACTTTTCTGTGGTGTTCACCTGGAGTCATTGTTTGAAAGTTTTCTGCATTGCTCTGCTGTTTCTTTCTAAGTCCTTTGGCTACAGAAAGAGCAGACTCCTCTGGAGGTTATTTTTGTCTGTGTTCATTATTGTTTCTAAATTTCAGACTTCTTCATCACCATGATTTGGATAGATGAGGCAAACAGAAAATCCAAGGAAATTACCATAAGTTCATGTGCATGAATTCCGAAGTCCCTACGAAGGCTATGTTATCTCCACCTTTTGGAAACTTCTTATGTTTTTCATGTGCATTATATCTTAGCAATATAAATAGGGAAAAGTATGTCTACCTCGTCTTCAATAAGCAGAACTTCTTATTTTGAACTGATGATGGTTTAAGTGTCATTTATTTAGTCATTTATACCCTGTGCTTATATCTTCTCTAAGACATTCCTCTGATTAACGGCTTTGGATTGGCTATTGTTATTGACAGAAAACCTGTTATATCTTGGAGTAGCCTCTCATTAGAATATTCTTACGTATGTTAGAAGAAATTTTAACAAGGAGAGTTGATTGTTTTCATATTTAAAAAATATGACAATTTTCATAGGTAGTCTCATTATTCATTATTGCAAATGTTAAATTAGAAAACTTTCTAGGGACAAATTTTAACATATAAAACTATTTAATATAAAGTTTAAGTAGTTGAGGCTAGCATATTACTATACTTCTCAAAGTGAAGAGTTCTTTTATAATTTCCTTTATGTATGAAAGAAACAGTCTGTAAGTCCTCTTCTTGTTTTTATGCTTTGATGGCAGAGAAGCCAGGTAATCTGGGCATAAGTAAAGTCAGGTGACAAATTATTTTATTCATGACTTTATAAATCAAGTGACAGAATGTATGTTGCTTGCCCTAATAGTACTTCATGTTTATTAAGGTTCGTTATTATTTCACGGTAAACGAAGTTTAATCTCCCACTACACCGTCCTTTTTGTGGCACACTCTGTAATTCTGTTCAAGGGTAAGTGTGAGTGTGTACATTATTATCTGCCATTCACCATTTAAAAATAAAAATTAAGATTTTTCAGTAGCTCAGCACCAATATATATTACAAATACTGAATTACAAGTAAAAGGCTATCATTGTTGATCTATTTTTATTCTTTTTTGTCTTTCCTAATAGTGACTAACTCTTATCAGAGTTTGTTTTCATTTGTAAACCAAATAATACATAAAAATAAGTTCTACTTACTTAAAGAGGTACAGGGTGATATATCACACAGCAGGAAACATGAAGCTTTCTCTGAATTCTAACAATAAAATTTTGACAGTAGTTTATATAAGCTACACACAAAAATCAAAACCAGAAAATGTCACATGAAAAAATGGCACAACACTTTATTTTGTGTAGAATTGAATTCAACCTGTAACCCAAAGGCAATGCAAATTAATATGGTTGCAAGCAGGAAAGGAAAAAGGTAAGTATGGGATTGCATATAACATGTGGTTATTTTATATGGGTACTCTCAAAGTGATGGAGAACAGTTCAATCAAGAGGATAAAGCTCCATTGATGACAGTGATTGCTAATGACTGAATTTTTAAAAACCTGATCTAATGGCTAGTGTTCAGTAAGCAAATAGAGGATCTGGAAAAGATTGAGATATAAAGCAATGAAGTGTTATATGATACAAAAGCCACCAAAACCATTAGAAAATATTCAAAGTTTGGTTAACAAGAAACAGGGTGGTACATATTCCTTCACTGTTCCCTACCATGAATTCAGAATTTCACACAATTGGAAGGCTTACCTCATTTGTTTCTCTCTTCTCAGGATCCAGTCCTTTCCTATCTGAAACCCAATATGAAAAGATGGTTTTTCATATGTTTGTCCAGTTTTCTAGTTGTGTATGGTGATTCACATACCAGTTATTCTGTCACGACATTCTAATTTGTGATATCTGCCTTGATTCTTATATTCTACTACGGAGTTTTGCAATTATAGTTAATATTTATCACACACTTACTTCCTTTAAACTTTGCATATTAAGTAGATATTATCATTTTTAATTTTATTGATTAAAAAACTGAGGCAGAAATAGTTTGGGTAATATAACTCAGATCACATAGCTAATAGGTGTTTGAACCAGGATTCAAATGTGTGGGTGTCCAACTCCAAATGTGTGGGTGTCCAACTCCAAAGCACGCCTATATTACTAACCTCTATGATATAATAACCTAAAGTGGGGTGCTGACTTATGCAATTGGCTTAGAAAACAAAATTCATCTTTCAACAAAGCTACAATTTCACTTTGGAAACTCTGTGAACTGGAAAGCATTAGAGAAATGTTGAAAAAGGTGATGATCATGGAGATAATGACAACTCATGAAAGAGGGTCTTGAAAGGGCTCTGCGCTTTTATTTGCTATCCTGCCCTAGACATATTTACACATAAAGAAGCATTTTCTCATCTGGAGTTTTATCCAGTGAAGTCAATTTTTGGCTGTCATTCATTGAATATCTACTGTGGTAGCCTCAAGATATAAAGAGAAAATAAAACATAAACCCCACTCTGCAAGACGGTGACATCTTGCAGCAATGCTAACTGGGACCTCTTTAATTTATCACCACAGTTCCCAAGTGGGCCTTTCTCACTGCTTGGCAGTCCTATAAATTTCTATAGTTAAATTACACTCCTACTCTCTGACACATCTATTGTATATCTTCTCCTCCTGCCTCTAAGTCCCAGCATCCCTGTTTCCACCTCACTATTAGTTCATGACATCTCATCTCATTCTACATAGAAAATAGAAGCCACCAGAAAAGAAACAGCCAATCTCCATGGATCTCGGGCAGCTCTGCTTTCGTTCCTGTTGAAATGGATGAACTGCTCATGTGCACGTCAAACAACTCTATTTTTTGCTCTGGGTTCCATTCTTCTTGCTTTCCCCAGGACTTTATTATTGCAATTATATCTTCTCCCTTCTGCATTATTATTCTGTCACTCTCTACTGGATCATTTTTAGCAAACAAATATGCTCTCATTAAAGAAATCAATAGATAAATGCATGAACCTCTTTTGAGCCCATAATCAGCTTCAACTCCTGCACCTGTTCCTCTTATAGCATAACTCCTTGGAAGGGTTGCTTCCAATCTCTGCCTTCATTCCTCACCTCTCTTCACCTACCCTTCAGGATTTGAGTTCTACTCCTTCATAAATCTGTTCATGTCAAGGAAGCCAATAACTTGCATCCTTCCATGTACAATAGTCAATTTTGTGCCATTCCTTAATGATTCCTTCTTTCTGGAAACACATGAATTACATAACTTCCATCACACCACAATCCTAGTTTTCTTCTCTTTTCTCTACCCCTTCTCTATCTCCTTTACTGGGTCATCCTTTCCCTGGTCTCTAAGTTTCAAAGTTGCTTATCATAGCTCTATTTTGTATGTGCATTTACTACCTGGGTGACTGTTAAGTTTACACTTCCAGCTCAACCTCCACTGCATCCAAAATTCTTCAACCCACTGTTCTCCCCTTTGATGCCTCACATGCGTATCCAAGTTAACACAGCCACAGAGAATTCTTCATTGCACCCTTTTCCACATTAATGCCTTCTCCATCTTTCCGTTTCATGAATTTCACTGTTATTTGATTGTTAAGGTCCAAAACCTAGCAGTCATACCTCATATCCTATCACTCATCAAGAGTTACCAGCTCTTCCTTCAAAACATATCCTGAACCGATTACATTTCACCATCTTAATAAGTATAACTTAACTGCAAGGTACTCATGAAATTAAATCCAAATTCGTCCAGGCCCTGGCCCTTGTCCAACATCTGACCTCAGGTCCCACCACTCTTGCCTGAGCTTCCCAATCTGCTGACCCAGGCTTCTTTGGACATCACCCAGCCTGTGCCTGCGTGGTCGTACTTTCTATGGGGAGGCTCTTTCTAAGGTATTTCATGGTTTGCTTCTCTCTTTTAGCATCATGACCCCATGTGACTCCTCAGCTGAATGACCTCTGATTATTTTAGTGAAGCAGTTCCCATTTACATTACATTTGCTACCTCCTATCACACGGCCCAGTTTTGTATGTTTTAGCAGGTATCACTGCACGAAATTGTGTTTTTTCAGTCCTTTGCTGTTGCAGATCTCTGAGGATAAGGATACTCTTTTCTTGACCAAGGCTGAGAACTCTGCTACCACCAGTCCCGACAAGGGGCCTCTGTGGCTTATGCAACCCATCTTCTTAGTGTGGAAATGAGATGGATACGACCTATCACCCCTGCCGATGCTGCCTCTGCCAACATTTCCACTGCCTGTCAGCCCTGTGGAAGTGAGCCTCACCCATCCCGCTTCTTACATTCACAAGCTCCCGAGTCAAAAGCTACTGTGTCACATGTGTACATGCTGGTTGTAAAGAAGATGTAGAAATCAAGTCTCAGTTTCCATAGAGAAAGACAATCTCTGCCTATCAACAAGACATAAAATGAAAAATCCCAGCAACCTCAGAAGAGGGTTCAGATTCTTGCTTGCTGACAAGTGGGAACATCCCCTAAAAGAGCCAAGGAGAGAATCCTGAACTTGCATCACCACTAACTCATGGACAGAGGAAGAGAAAGGCAGGCTATAGAGAGTGGTGTCATTGAAGATGGAAAGAAGAGAGATTTTTAAACATTGTAAGTTAATTTTGAGTGCTGTAAACAGAATGAATAGTCTGAGAACCAAAAAATGTTCACTGAATCAAACTATGTGACCACTTGTGATGTGAGGAATAACAGCTTCAGTAAAGTGATAGATTGCAATGTATTAAGGAGGAAATACAAGAAATAACAGTGAATTTTCTTTATACAGTTTGGTTGAAGAGAAGGAAGAAAAGGACAAACAATAGGGAAGGGGGAGTCAGGGGAAGGTTTTTGTTTTGTGACAGAAGAGAGATGACCGTGTTTACTGTGAGGAACAGAGTAAGAACCAATATAGAAAGACTGTAGATCTTGAAAGGAGCTATAATCATATCGAATGTTTGGAAACATTCCCAAAGATATTATAAGGGGCTTATTTTAAACACTAAGAAAGATTAGCTCATAACTGGAAGAAACTGCATCTTCTCCTGGAACTAGAAGAGAAAGAATGAAGATGGATCGCTATAGGATCTGGGTGAAGGCTGGCTTTTTAAAGTGATATGGGAGAAAAAATTGTGTGTAATTTTTTCAGTTCCTCCACCTCTGGCCTCTCTTCTGTCTGAGGTGGGGGACATTACCTCCTGAGAATTTTAGGAGAGGTAGAATTAAGCTGACCAGGAATATATAAAAGAAGACGACTTCAGTTTTAACAATCACCAGAGGCTGAATACTGTGAGTTGACAGTGGTTGCATTCTGTGATTTTTCATTGTTCAGCAATCTTGTTATAGGGGTAAAAAAGATGAATTATTATAGCTTCAGGTCTAGGATTTTGATAGACAAAGGGAACACATGACAAGGTGCCCACCAGAAATAAAAGTAGTCATAAGAATAATTTTACTGCTTGATCTTGGTATTTACATTGATTAGGAGAGTGGTGAAGCCAGAATGGAACTAAATGGACAAAGGAAGGCACTGGAAATGTTTATGCTGGAGAAGAATAGTGGTTCATACCAGAAACTGAGTGAGATAACTGGAAGCACCAGGAGTTGAACAAGACACCAAAACTTAAATGAATTTTAAGACTTCAGGGAAGCTGTCATACCAGGTAAAGAAATGGTAAAAAATATAGTCATATATTTAAGTGGCTGAAGGTGAATGTTTGAGAAATTAGAAATTTTGGTTTTTTTTTGTTTAAAATATGGGACAGTGCCTAGTGAGAAGAGTTCAAAGGGTTTGAAGAAGTTAGCGAGAAGGTGAAACATAAAGAAAAAGCCAAAAGAAATATAGAAATGAAAACACTGGTATATTGAAGATATACTGGTATATGGAAGATTGTAAGTTTCCTGAGGCCTCCCCAGCCATACTAAACTGTGAGTCAATTAAACCTCTTTCTTTTGTAAATTGTCCAGTCTTGGGCAGTTCTTTATAGTAGTATAAAAACTGTCTAATACAGTAAATTGGTATCACAGAGAGTGGGGTGCTACTATAAAGATACCCAAAAATGTAGAAGTGACTTTGGAACTGGGTAACAGGCAGAGGTTGGAACAGTTTGGAGGACTCAGAAGAAGATAGGAAGATGTGGGAAAGTTTGGAAGTTTCTAGAAACTTGTTGAATGGCTTTGACCAGGATGCTGATAGTGATATGGACAATGAAGTCTAGGCTGAGGTGGTATCAGACAGAGATGCAGAACTTGTTGGGAAATGGAATAAAGGTGATACCTGCTATGCTTTGCCAAACAGACTGGTGACATTTTGCCCCTGCTCTAGGGATCTGTGGAAATTCGATTTTGAGAGAGATGATTTAGGGTATCTGGCAAAAAAATATTTTCTAAGCAGCAAAGCATTCAAGAGGTGACCTGGGAGTTATTAAAAGCATTTAGTTTTATGCATTCACAAAGAGATGTTTGGAATTGGAACTATGTTTAAAAGGGAAGCAGAGCATAAAAGTTTAGAAAATTTGCTGCCTGATGATGTGATAGAAAAGAAAAACCCATTTTCTGAGGAGAAATTCAAGCTTGCTGCAGCAATTTGCATAAGAAATGAGGAGTCATATGTTAATTACCAAGACAATGGGAAAAATTTGTCCATGGGGTGTCAGAGGTCTTCACGGCAGCCCCGTCCATCACAGGCCTGGAGGCCTAGGAGGAAAAAATGGTTTCATGGGCTGGGTCCAGGGCCTTGCTGCTTTGCGCAGTCTCAGGACTTGATGCCCTGTGTCCCAGTCATGGCTAAAAGGGGCTAATGTGCAGCTTGGCCAATGGCTTCAGGGGGTGCAAGCCCTAAGCCTTGGCAGCTTCCACGTGGTGTTGAGTCTGCAGGTTTACAGAGGTAAAGAATTGAGGTTTGGGAACCTCTGACTACATTTCAGAAGATGTATGGAAACACCTGGAGGTCCAGGGAGAAGTTTGCTGCAGGGGCAGAGCCCTCATGGAGAACCTCTGTAGGACAGTGTGGGAGGGAAATGTGGGGTCAGAGCCCCCACACGGTGTCCCCACTGGGGCACTGCCTAGTGGAGCTGTGAGAAGAGGGCCACAATCCTCCAGATTTTAGGATGGTTGATCCACAGGCAGTTTGCACCGTGCACCTCGAAAAGCCACAGAGACTCAACACCAACCTGTGAAGGCAGCTAGGAGTGGAGCTATATACCCTGCAATGCCACAGGGGCAGAGCAGCCCAAGGTCACGGGAGCCCACCTCTTGCATCGGTGTGACCTGAATGTGAGACATGGAGTCAAAGGATATCATTTAGGAGCCTTAAGATTTGAGTGCACCACTGGATTTTGGACTTGGGTGGTGCCAGTAGCCCCTTTGTTTTGGCCAATTTCTCCTATTTAGAATGGGTATATTCACCCAATGCCTGTACCCCTGTGGTATTTAGGAATAAAACTAACTTGCTTTTGCTTTTACAGGATCACAGGCAGGAGAGACTTGCCTTGTCTCAGGAGAGACTTTGGACTTGGACTTTTGGGTTAATACTGGAATGAATTAAGTCTTTAGGGGACTGTTGGGAAGGCATGATTGGTTTTGAAATGTGAAAGAGACATGAGATTTGGGAGGGAGCAGTGTTGGAATTATATGGTTAGGCTTTGTTTCACCACCCTAATCTCATCTTGAATTGTAATCCCTATAATCTCCATATTCCCACGTGGCAAGTGAGAGGACAGGTGGAGGTAATTGAATCACGGGGGTGGTTTCCCTCATGCTGTTTCTCATGATAGTGAGTGAGTTCTCAAGAGATCTGATGGTTTTCTAAGGAACTCTTCCCCCTGTGTTGGACACTTCTCCTTCTTGCCACCTTGTGAAGAAGGTGCCTACTTCCCCTTCTGCCATGATTATAAGTCTCCTAAGGCCTCCCCAGCCATGCTGAACTGTGAGTCAAATAAACCTCTTTCCTTTATAAATTACCCAGTCTCAGGTATGTCCTTATAGCAGCCTGAGAACAGACTAATACAAACTACACATTATTCTCACATCCAGTGAAAAGCATCATTCACAGATTACTAAGCTATGTCTCATTCCCTTGAATTAAGACAAGTCTGTTTCTATTATCATGTAATTTGGTGTTTAAACCTAAGTTTAGGACTTCCACATAGCCCAGTTAATTTTCTGTTTGTGGGTTTTAGCTAAGATTCAGGTCATAACAACTAAAATAAATAAAATTGCTGTATTAGTCCATTTTCATACAGCTATTTTATTTATTAAATAAATAGACTAATACAATGGACTAATACAGTATGTATCTATACATACTGGAGATATACATATAAATACACATGAATATATTATATATATATATATTCATGCAATAAAGTTAATAGACTATTATTCCACATTTTGATACATGCCCCTCAAAAGGAGTTTGTTCTTCATATATGACCCTAATTTGTCCCAATGGTCTTTTATGCACGTTCCAAGGTATAGTGTGTCTATGTCATAATGACCACCTTGCTGCTCTTGCCCTAACGAGGCCAGGAAAAGTGAGGTACCCCTATTTCTAGTTCTGCCATAGTCCTGTGATAACTGGTGCTCTCACTTAGCTTCTCAGGAAGATTGTTTACTCATCTGAAAAACAAAATGTTAGAATTTGATAATCTCTCATGTGTTTTTTTAGCTTTGATGCTATACCAACTACCCGGTAGTTTAAGATGAGGAAAAGCAGGCCGGGCATGGTGGTTCATGCCTGTAATCCTAGCACTTTGGGAGACTGAGGCAGGCAGGTCACTTGAGATCAGGAGTTTGAGACCAGCCTGGCCAACATAGTGAAACCTTGTCTCTACTAAAAATACAAAAAAAAATTAGCCAGGTGTGGTGGTACATGCCTGTAATCCCAGCTACTTGGGAGGGTGAAGGGCTGAAGCAGCAGAATCGCTTGAACCCAAGAGGTGGAGATTGCAGTGAGCTGAGATTGCCCCATTGCACTGCAGCCTGGGAGACAGGAGCAAAACTCCGCCTCAAAAAAAAAAAAAAAAAAAAAAAAAAAAAGGAAAAGTGCTGGGTTTATCTCAGAACTCCCCAATTTTGCTAGCAATATCATCATATTTTTTTCTTCTTTGAGAGAAGGAAACAGAAGACATGATGCAAGTATATTTCTAAACGATTTATTAAAACATTCTGTGGACTTATTAGAGCCATCAATGTGGATGGGGTAATAATAGCATGTGGCCAATTTCCTCTGTCCATGTTCCCTGCTTGGGTTCTGCTCTGTGCTTACATACAGCCCTGAGCACGAGTTGTGTTGAAATAGACAGTCAGGCATGTCTCCACAGTCTGAGTGCATGCTTTTCATGCTGGAGGACTTTCATATCAGGTTGTGAACTTAAAAAAAAGATAAAAACAGAAAAATCGTACTTGATTTAATCCATGAACAGTTATATCAAAACATAATACCAAACCTGAAATATCAGAACAGGAAAGGAAAAAAAGTTAATTTGAGAAAGGGCATTATTAATCTCTATGTTATAATCTATGTATTTCCTGGCATTTGGCTGCGTTCCATAATTTCACTGCCTTTTACTGCTCTGACATGTTCAACCCCATCTATTCTCATTTTCTTCTGGTTATAACATTAAATTACAGATGCTCTTTCCCAATCTTATCTTTAGTTCTCTGGAGAGGTGAAGTCATTCTCTATAGCCCTTGTATTCTGAGAATTCCAAAGCACCGCTATCATGTCTGGAATAAGCGGTTGTTCCCTTTTGTTAGAAAAGGCAATGGCTAATACTTTTGAGTTGTGAAGACATTTTTTCTTCTCAATTTTATGAGTAACAGTGGAGAATTGGGAATTATATGTCTAGAGACTCTTGTATTTATCTTATACTTGACAAATACAAAAATAATTAAAAGCCATTGCTTTTATAGGACTAACAGAGCAATACTGATTATTATCCTTACTAACAGTACCTGTTCAGTGACAGAAATTGTGCTGTTTTGATATCTTTTTATTTAATCTTCAATCATCCTCAAATTCATCAACTTTCTGAGATTAGTATTTTTTTTTTTGAGATGGAGTCTTGCTCTGTTGCCCAGGTTAGAGTGCAGTGGAATGATCTCCGCTCACTGCAAGCTCCGCCTCCCAGGTTCATGCCATTCTCCTGCCTCAGTCTCCCAAGTAGCTGGGACTACAGGCACCCGCCACCATACCCAGCTAATTTTTTGTATTTTTAGTAGAGATGGGGTTTCACCATGTTAGCCAGGATGGTCTCGATCTCCTGACCTCGTGATCCGCCCGCCTCGTCCTCCCAAAGTGCTGGGATTACAGGTGTGAGTCACTGAGCCCAGCCCTGAGATTAGTATTTATGCTCCCATTTAAGATATGAGAAAGTTGAGGGTTTTTTGTTTGTTTGTTTGTTTTTTTAACCGTGTCACTCTATCTCCCAGGCTGGAGTGCCGTGGTGGAATCTCTACTCACTGCCACCTCTGCCTCCTGGGTTCAAGTGATTCTCATGCCTTAGCCTCCTGAGTAGCTGGGACTACAGGTGCATGCCACCACGTCCAGCTAATTTTTGTATTTTTAGTAGAGTAGAGATGGGCTTTCAGCACGTTGGCCTAGCTGGTCTTAAATTCCTGGCCTCAAGAGATCCACCCTTCCTTGGCCTCCCAAAGTACTGAGATTACAAGCGTGAGTCACTGCACCTGGCAAAATTGAAATTTAAAGATATTTTAAAAATTGCCCAAAGCCTCATGATTACTTAATGTGGAGATTAATATTTTAATCTAGGTTGAACTAGATCAAAATATCTGGGCTCTTCAACACTCGTAAACTTTTCACATCAGAACAAAGAAAACCATTGGTGAATATTAACATGCAGGATTTGTTTAAATATAGTAATCATTCTTGGGAAACCTGTATTGCAATGTTTCTCCAATGTAATATATCAGAAGTTATAATTCTTGAAAATAGGTCTTCATTTAATGAACAATTGTTTATATGGCTACAGTTTAATTTAGTTAAGTAAAGCAAACCTGTAATGGGCACTTGCCATGTTTAAGGCAAGCAGCAGAGATTAAAGAACAAAGTCACGGCCAGGCGGGGTGGCTCATGCCTATAATCTCAGCACTTTGGGAGTCCAAGGCAGGCGGATCATGAGGTCAGGAGATCAAGACCATCCTGGCTAACACGGTGAAACCCCGTCTCTACTAAAAATACAAAAAATTAGCTGGGCACTGTGGCGGGTGCCTGTAGTCCCAGCTCCTCCAGAGGCTGAGGCAGGAGAATGGCATGAACCCAGGAGGCGGAGCTTGCAGTGAGCCGAGATCGAGCCACTGCACTCCAGCCTGGGCGACAGAGTGAGACTCCGTCTCAAAAAAAAAAAAAAAAAAAAAAAAGGAACAAAGTCAATAAGACAGTCTCTACACTTAGGGAATACTGTTCTGATTAGTCTCTATAGTCCAACAGTGAATAGTGGTACGAAAGGGAGACAAATAAAACATTTTGTGAGCGAAGAGAATGAGGTACTACATCAAGACTGAAAGGAAGGGCACTTTCATAAAGCAGGTAGCATTTGAGCTAAGCTTTGAGGGTTATACTCGAAGAGCCTCTGTCTTGGTTAATTTTCTGTCTTGGTTAATTTAATGTCTTGAATAATTTTCAATCTGATATTTTCAAGCCTAAGGAAATAGTAAAACATAGAAGAGGGACAATGTTATGGCAGCTAACTGGCTCTACATCTTACCTAACCCTTTACTTATTACAAACCTCTGACTGGTTGTATAATCTTTCTGCATCTTGTCTAATGTATAAAGTGGGGAAAACAAATCTGCCCATTTCATAGTGTAGTTAGAATTAAATGAGATGACGCATCCAGAGCCTTTAGCAGATGCCTTGTAGTGTGCAAAGCTTCCAAAAATGCTCATTTCTAACAGTGTTTGTAAAAAAGCCACATGCACGTTAAATTAGTCTGGGAATTCAATTTGTAATATAAAAATGGAGACTAGGTTCAATGATTTCAAGATATTGTGTTTCATGCCTTGACACAGTAATAAATATTTGTGAGGTAAACTAAATATGAGGTTACTTGTTTCAGCAGATTTTTTCAGGGGAGAATTCCAGGACACAGTTGTGATAAAAAACCTGATTGCTCAGGGCCACACAGTTCTATGTTCATGCAAAAGATTGGAATATGCAAAACATGAATGGACTTACATTTATTTGTAATGATAATAATTAATAAGTTCTAACCAAAATCTTATTGCACATAGAATCACATTGTTTGGAATCAGGAAAAGTTGTAGACAGCTTCATGTGAAAGAGACTTGAAGATGTGATCTGAAACATTAATAAAGAAGAAATCCTCACTCTCAGAAGCATAGGGGTCAATGTTCTAAAAGGAATCAAATAAAAGATATCATGTGTTATCGAGAATGAAAAATTTAAGAAAGAAATTTTTTAAAGAGCAAAATAAAGCTAGCTTTTGATAGAATTACAAAATTAATTGGTTAAAAGTAAGTGCAAAGATATATAAATGTTCAAAAAGTACAAGAAAAGATATTCAACATCATTGAACAGAGGAAGGTAAAATGACAACCACAGTAAATGCCACATCCCACTCATTTGGATACCTATGTTCCAAAAGATTTTTAATAAGCAGCGTTGGCAGAAATGTGGGGAAATTAGAACCCTTATACATTCTTAGGGGGAATATAAAATGGTGCAGTATTTCTGGAAAACAGTCTGGCAGTTCTTCAAAAAGTTAAATGTAGAGTTACCATGTGACCTAGTGATCCATTCCTAGGTGCACAACCAAAATAGATGAAGCATGTGTCCACACAAAAACCTGTACATTCATGTTCACAGAAGCACTATTCACAGCAGTGAAAAAGTGGAAACATCCCAAATGTCCATCAACTGATAAATGGATGTATAAAATGTGATGCATCCATAATGGAAACTGTTGCACAACAAGAATGAAAGAATTACCAGCACACACTACAACGGAATAAGCCTGGAGAACATCTTGGTGAGTGAAAGAAGCCAGTCATAAAATACCACATATGATATGATCCCATTTGTATGAAATGTCTGGAATAAGGAAATCCAAAGACAGGAAGCAGATCAGTGGTTGCCTAGGGCTGGATACATAGGAGGGAAAAGGGGAGCGACTGTTACTAGGCATGCCGTTTCTTTTTGGGTTGATCAAGGTATTCTAAAACTTGTAAAACTGATAGTTGAACAACACTGAATATAAAAACATTGAATCACACACCTCAAATGGGTGATTTATATGGTATATGAATTATATTTTAATACAATTTTTATTAAGAAAAAATGATGTAATAGACGCTATCAGTTTAGACTTCAATTAAGTTTTTGATGATATTGTGTTTTTTAAAAATTAGCTCAAAAGGCAACTATAGTACAAATAAAATTAACTACATTGGAAAAATTACCAACAGGTTATAATCTCCATCTTATTATAATAAACAACAATATATAGTTCAAGGGTAATACACTGCAGAGTGCTTCTGAACAGGTTGTTCAAAATTTATCTATTACCATTTTTGAACAAGCTTGAGATTGCTGTAAATTACGAGGTTGAAATTAACAAAGAGACATATATCAAAAAAGATCATACATATGCATGTAAACTTAAAAAATAAGTAAGTAACAGCAACTAAAGTTAATTAATTTTAACAAGCATGGTTTTTAATAAGTGGTTGAAACCCAGAAAATTTTAGACTAAACATTTTTCCTATTTCCATAAAGTTACATTTTAAAAATCTTTACATATAGCTTAATTGGACTTTTTATTTAAAAATTAGTGGGTAATGATATATCATCTCTTAACAAGTGCCTTAAATCAGGGGTCCCCAAACCCCAGGCCATAAGCAGATACCAGTTCATGACCTGTTAGGAACCAGGCCACCACACAGGAAGTGAGCAGCGAAGCTTCACCTGTTTTTTTGTTTGTTTTGTTTTGTTTTGTTTTGTTTTTTGAGATGGAATTTTGCTCTTGTTGCCCAGGCTGTAGTGCAATGGCATGATCTCAGCTCACTGCAACCTCTGCCTCCTAGTTTCAAGTGATTCTCCTGCCTCAGCATCCCTAGTAGCTGGGATTACAGGTATGTGCCACACGCCTGGCTAAGTTTTGTATTTTTAGTACAGACAGGGGGCTGGTCTCAAACTCCTAACCTCAGGTGACCTACCCGCCTCGGCCTCCCAAAGTGCTGGGATTACAGGCATGAGCAACCATGCCTGGCCTACCTCATCTGTTTTTACAGCCATTCCACGTCACTTGCGTTACCACCTGATCTCCACCTCCTGTCAGATCAGTGGCAGCATCATTAGATTCTCATAGGAGCACCAACCTTATTGTGAACTGCACATACAAGGGATCTAGGTTGCATGCTCCTTATGAAAATCTAATGCCTGATGATCTGTCACTGTCTCTTTTCATCCCCAGTTAGTACCATCTAGTTGCAAGAAAACAAGCTCAGGGCTTCCACTGATCCTATATATGTAATATTATTTTATTATATATTACAATGTAATAATAATAGAAATAAAGTACACAATAAATGTAATGCACTTGAAACATCCTGAAACCATTCCCTCCCTCCCTGCCCTAACTGTAGAAAGATTGTTTTCCACAAAACCAGTCTCTGGTGCCAAAGGGGTCGAGAACCATTGCCTTAAATGAAGGCTGGGATAATGATCAGAAATATTTGTATAGTAACATGGAGAGAACAAAAGAGGATTCAGAAAACACAATGAATTAAAAAGTGGAGAAACTGAGGCTGTTGATTCCTAACATCTTGACTAAACGATGACTGAGAAATGCTAAGATGACATTATAAATAAATGGAGACATAAATGTAACTAAAAAGGAAAACAACATTTAATTGGTAGAAAAAAAATTCCAGTGGAAACAAGGAAATCATCAAGAAAGCCAGACTGGACTCTTTTGTAGGGTTTCATCTCACTGTTCAACAGCAAAGGGCCACTATGCTATCACTTTCTCTGAAACGTTTTCAGATTTCTTTTTATCAAAACCTTCAGCAATCGGGAAGAAACTTTTCATAGCTCTGCTTTTGAGATGATATTTTGAACTTGGAAAGGAGCAGATGAGGGTCAAAAATATATGTCCTGAAGTTGCAAGAAAAGAGTATGGTAGAAATCATGAACCTAACTTCCCTGCCTTTGTTTCTATGACCAGGGTGACTCAGGATCAGGGGCTGGGTTAGGAATGTCAAGCAACAACCCTATCATTGCTCTTTTCCTAATTGTTCTCTCTTCTAAACCCAAAAGAAACAGTCAGAAACCCAGGAGTAAATGAGGGAGCCAAAATAGCTTATAATTGCTACTCCTAAAACAATGCACTTTTTGAAACAAAAATCCCAGGAGTTAATTAAAAGCTGTGAAAACGTCTTTATGTTGCTGGTATCCTTGTGTTTCAGTGATTATTACATTTTCAAAAGGACTCTGGCACAAGGAGATGATTGCTGGGTAGGGTATGAAAAGCTGACAGCTTTCTTAGGAATAAAAAGTTACAAAAGTAAAATTTACAAGTTGCATATTGTCAGCATTATACCTAAAGAGATTTTGACCAAATGTGCTGGTGCCTTTCTCCCATGAATTATCATTTTTATTTTGATATTTGAAACTTTATAGATGCTGGATATTAGACTTCCGTCAGATGCATAGTTTGCAAAAATTTTCTGACATTCTGTAGGCTGTTTACTCTGTTGACAGTTTCTTTTGCTGTGCAGAAGCTCTTACGTTTAATTAGATCCCATTTGTCAATTTTTGCTTTTGTTGCAATTGCTTTTGGCATCTTTGCCATGAAATCTTTGTCCATGCCTATGTCCTGAATGGTATTGCCTACATTGCCTTCTAGGGTTTTTATAATTTTGGGTTTTACATTTAAGTCTTTAATCTATCTTGAGTTAATTTTTATATATGGGAGAAAATTTTTGCAAACTAGCATCTGAGAAAGGTCTAATATCCAGCATCTATAAAGAACTTAAACAAATTTACAAGAAAAAACCAAACAACCCCATTAAAAAGTGGGCAAAGGACGTGAACAGACAATTCTCAAAAGAAGACATACATGCTCCCAACAATCATATATAAAAAAAAAACTCAGTATCACTGATCATTAGAGAAATGCAAATCAAAATCACAGTGAGATACCACCTCAAGCTGGGTGTGGCGACTCATGTCTGTAATCCCAGCACTTTGGGAGGCCGAGGTGGGCGGATCACAAAGTCAGGAGATCAAGACCATCCTGGCCAACATGGTGAAACCCTGTCTCTACTAAAAATAGAAAAAATTAGCCGGGTGTGGTGGCACATGCCTGTAGTCCCAGGTACTCAGGAGGCTGAGGCAGGAGAATCGCTTGAACCTGGGAGGCAGAGGTTGCAGTGAGCCGAGATCACACCATTGCACTCCAGCCTGGGTGACAGAGTGAGACTCTGTCTCAAAAAAAAAAAAAAAAAAAAAAAAAGGAAAAAGAGATACCACCTCACATCAGTCATCATGGCTATTATTAAAAAGTCAAAAAATAACAGATGCTGGCAAGATTGTGGAGAAAAAGGAATGATTATACACCATTGTTGGGAATATAAATTAGTTCAGCCATTGTGGAAGACAGTGTGGCAATTTCTCCAAGGCCTAAAAACAGAAATGCCATTCGACTCAGTAATCCCATTACTGGGTATATACCCAGAGGAATATAAATCATTCTATCATAAAGACACATGCACGTGTATGTTTATTGCAGCACTATTCACAATAACAAACACATGGAATCCTATGCAACCATAAAAAAAGAATGAGGACATGCCCTTTGCAGAGACATGGATGGAGCTGGAAGCCATTATCCTTAGAAGATTAATGCAGGAACAGAGAACCAAATACTGCATCTTCTCACTTATAAGTGAGATCTAAATGATGAGAACACATAAACACGTAGAGGGGAACAATACACACCGGGGTCTATTGTAGGGTGGAGGGTGGGAGGAGGGAGGGGATCAGAAAAATTAACTAATAGGTACTAGGCTAACTACCTGGGTGATGAAATAATCTGCATGACAAATCCCCATGACACATGTTTACCTATGTAACAACTCTGCACGTGGACCCCTGAACTTAAAATAAAAGTTTAAAAAATAATAAAAATAAAACTTTATAAAATAATATAAAGTTAAAAATAGAATTTACATATATATACACATATATATTGAAAAAGAGTTTCTTAGAGTTTTGGATACATTAACATGGATTTGTAAACCTATCTTAAACTCAGAAAAGCTTCAAGGAGAAATGTAATACACTATGAATTGAACAGTCATTGCTTAGTAGAACTTTGCTAATGTTCAACAACGGAGGCAGGACTAATCATATTTAAAATGTGCTCCATGGTATTCTTCTTGGGCTGCAGATGGATTATCACACAATTTAGTGAAAGGGCTTTATACAGAGGCCAAGAGACGTAATTCCATCACGCGAGCAACGACATAAACCTTCAGGCTCCGGTTTCTTCTCTGTAACACTAGAGCTTTTGATTTGATACTTTTCAGGCTGCCTTTGGTTCTAGCAGTCTTTGACTCCAGATTAGTAGGATAAACAAAAAAATTACAGAAGAAAGTGACTTTTTCCTCATTTGGAAAATAATAATGACCCATTCAGAGCTAGAATCAAAAACAGCATTTAGCAACAAAAATCTTGCCAGTATTTCCTTTCTGAACCTAGTCTACACAGAGATTTTGGTTCTGTTACTTCGCTGTATCTTCAACTATTACCTCTATAATACCCCAAGCTTATTGGTGCAGAAGAAAAATACTGGAAATCCCAGGCCTAGAATGCAGTGTATCAGTGTTTGTATTTGCCTTGATATCATTTGGGATTTTTGCTGCATTTTTAACTTTTACTTAATTTTTAAAGAATTATCCCAAGGGCACTGATGTATGGCCACTCCTGGAGGATACAAAGATGAATGGAGCTTAGTCCCTATTCCCAGACCTCAGGACTCACAGTGAAGTGAGACAGATAGACTCACAGTCCAGGAACAACCTTCATCACTAAGACCGTCATATAAAAACTGCACTGGACAGAGTTAAACAGGAAAGGAAGACACTTTCGTCCTTGGAGGAAGGCTTGCGGGGAGGCTGGCCAATAGGCTTAGACCAGCTGCATTTGCTAATGGCGCTTATCAAAGTTAGGCTCTGATACAGGTTGGATGTGTTGTCCCCTCCAAATCTCATGTTGAAATGTGATCCCCAATGTGGGAGGTGGGGCCTAGTGGGAGGTGTTTGTGTCATGGGGGTGCATCCCTCATGAATGACTTGGTGCCCTCCTTGCAATAATGAGTGAGATTCTCTATTAGTTCATGCAAGAGCTTGTTGTTTAAAGGAGCCTGGCACTTCCTCCTCTCTCTTGCTCTCTCTCTTTCACCCTGTGACATGCCTGCTCCCTCTTCACCTTCTGCAATGAGTGGAAGTTTCCTGAGGTCTCACCAGAAGTAGATGATGGTTCCATGTTTCTTGTACTGTCTGCAGAACCGTAAGCCAAAACAAACTTTTATTTATAAATGACCCAGCCTTGGATATTCCCTTATAGCAACACAGAACAGACTAACACAGGCTCCTATTCTCCCACAGCGACTGGGAGACAGAGGCAGTATCTTTCTTGATGATTACATTTCAAAGAGGTGGCTCCCAGTCCCAGTCCTGGAGCCAGAAATTCAGACAAGAGGTTGGGAGATTTACATCTCAAAGGGATAGAGGAAGAATTTACAGTGACAAGTTTTCTAAAGCAAATGCTCTAACAAAAGGGAGACCAGAAGCCTAAAGTCAGGAAGAAACCTGTCTAAAGTTTAGTCAAGCTGTGGGGACATGCAGGCATCTTGGCTGAGATAAAAGACTGTCTGAGAGCACAGAGCAGGAAGTAGTTTATTTACTTAGATGAGTATAAATCAGGTCTTTAAAGAAAGACCAAGAAAATGAACAATCTGTCCCCCATAGCAAATCTCTATTTAATCATTAAATCATAATCAAAGTTTTAGTGAGCAGTTTCTTATGAACCATAGGAAAAGAAATTGTTGTGACTGCTGAAGCACTTGATTCATCATTGTGTATAGTGGCCTGATTAAAATTAAATGTGTTTCTTTTGTTCTTTCTCTGTATCATCTACTTAATGATATAAATGGCTGTGAACTCAACATAAATGGTGTGAGTCCACACAACAGGTGGCTAAGGGAAAAGGAGGTAGATGATGGCAAGGAAGGAAAAACAGGACCTGAGAGAAGAAAGCCTATTTCTCATAGTTATGCCAAGGCACCCCTGAGCCCCATGCCATGATTCCACCTTCCTAGATGTTTACATCTGTCAAGACTCAAAGAAGCACCACTCCACCAAGGAAGGTTCCGCAAACGGTTCAAGAGATGGGGGGATGCATTCTGTTATCCAGGAAGATGCTATTAAAAAAAGGTTGCTATTATTAAAAATAAGAGCAATCTACCCATTGAAAAAGCATGTCTGTGGACCAGGTGAGGCAGGAGAATAGGGTCTGGAGGCAGGGAACATAAGGCCAATTCATGCTGACTTCCTAGAACTAAATCAAATGGAAACACTTCATCTATAACAGGAAATATCCTCTCCATTTACACCCTATGGCATACACCCAGTAAATAACTTTGCAATGTTACTTCAACTCCTTCATTTACATAGAGAGTATACCACGTAACCAATGGAAACCTCTAGAGCGTATTTAAACCCCAGAAAATTCTGTAATGAGGCTCTTGAGCCCCTAAAAGCTCAGGCTCGCTCCCACCCTGTGGAAAGTACTTTCATTTTCAGTAAATCTCTGCTTTTGTTGCTTCATTCTTTCCTTGCTTTGTTTGTGCATTTTGTCCAGTTCTTTGTTCAAGATGCCAAGAACCTGGAATCCCTCCACCGGTAACACAAAGAAGCTGTTTACTTTGTGTTTGTGTTTGTTTCTGTTTTGTCTCTATCCTGAGTGAGGGGGCAATAAATAAAATATTTAAAGGGTTTGGTTAAACCTATGTGACACTTTTAATTTCTAAATGGCAGTTAACATTAGAAAGATACCACAAGCATGCCATGCATATATACACATTAACATTTAGACCAATATTTAAGTTAAATAATATTTACATTTTCTGTCCATTTCCTTTAGTTTTTAAAGCATCAAACCCATGCAATACTAACTTTACCAGATTAAACAAAAGGAAGCACCTGCTATCAGAGACTATACTTAATTCTACTGGGATGATTACATCACATGTTCAACAAGTCAAATTAATTTTCCCTCACAAAATAGGGTTTTTAGGCTCACCCACTATGTGGGTAGTATTGAAGTTTTAATTGAGGTTTCAGAACAAGTTTAAGAATGTTCTTCTTGTTAATATAGTTTTTTAAAACTTTAGACAAATTAGATTTTACTGATTTTAATTGAACATTGAATAAAGAACGATTTGTGAATCAGGCAGCCCCCAGACCACAGTAAGTGCACAGTGAACCAGGGCTGCCTTCTGCATAGCAATTATGGGCAAGAAAACCAAAGTGAGGCACAGAAAGTATGGGCTGGGTACAGATCAGCATTGGCCTACTTGAACAAGGTTTGAACAGTAGGCTGCCTGTGACTGGCTACAACACGGCTGCGGTGATTTGTTGAGGCTGAGCTGGTTGTTACAAGAATGGGTAAAGTCTGTTTACACAGCAAGCTAGGCTGCAGTTCTCCATGCATGGAGAAACCTTTAGGCCAAACTTAATTCAACTTAACAGTATAAATTTTTCTGTGCCCTTATAACTCTTGGTGTACCTGTGAGGTCTTTTTTTATGACTTAACAAGACAGGTACAAAGATTATGTACTGGTAAATGAACTTGAAGCATATTAGCAAGAGGAAATTAAAGCAGTGTAAAGAGAAAAGATAAATTATGTTGTGAAAGCAAGCAAGAAGTGAAAATTAAGAAAGAGCAAGAGAAAGAGAGAGAAGGAGAGAAAACGAGAGAGACAGAGAGATGGAGAATGAAGAAAGAGGTAAAAGATAAGAAAATAAATATGAAAAGACCTGTGTCCTCTCTTGGACCAACCCTTACAATCCTTTACAAGATTTGTCAGGTCATGCTCAATACATCAGGATATGGTTCCATGTCCTTCAAGTCACGTGAAGTCATATGCTTATGTCCTCACTCATTCACACATGTTAAAGCACGTCATGAACAGAGTAAGGAGGCAGGAGAGTGAGACCCACAGAAAAAGAGGTGAAGAAAGTGGACACGATGTAGGAGACAGATCTGAAGTCACAGCAATCAGGTTAAGGAATGTGACAGCCAGTGAGCTAAAGGGCTTTTACATCTTTATAATTTAGAGATTGAAAACAGCCAAGAAGAATGTCAAAGTTGCCCAGAGAAACAAATAGAATTATTTTAGAGCACAGAAATGTCTGGTTGGATGTCCTATTGAATGTCAAGTCAATTTAGATTAAATTTCTCTTATTACACTGTCACGAAAGTTTAAAAATCCACAGAGTACCTTGAAATGGGCAATTTACCAGGTACTTGCTGCTGCATATGTGTATGAATGTCCCAGAATATTAAAGCAATGTCAGATTCCATCAAATATTGCTCCTGCTTAGCCAAGACTCCAACAGTTATTCAACACTTCAGTGACCCAACAAGAAGGTGCAATAGAGAGAACCTAGATTGATTTTTAAAATATATTTATATAAGTAATGTTCACTGGGAAAATAGAAAGGCATTGCTCTATTTGCCATGGAACAAAGAACAATGAGAGGCTCTCCATAGCCATGTTCCAGTCAACAAGAGTGCATGATCCTGTCCCTTTCTAGCTTCAGTGACAGTATAATAAGCAGAAAGTAACCTGAAAGTTGACTTGACATTCAACCAAGCAGTCAACTACCTTTATTGAGGGCTGAATATGTGATATCCAATGGGCTAAGGATTTCACAGATAATTATTTTAATACTCCCAAGAAACTTTTGGATAAGAAATTCTTGTTATGATTTTATACATGAGCCACCTTTTCCCCGAATTATATTACGGCATACACACACGCTTATACTTTGCAAGACGAAAAAGAATGGTTTGAACCCAAGTCTTCAGATCACTAGTGTTTGCATCATATCAGTGTTTTCTCACAATTCCAGTGAAGTAACTCCAGGCAGAAGAAAAAGAACAAGCATTCCCTAGGTGCCTTTGGGCTCCTGGTGAAAATTGACCAACCCTGATTTTAGTATTTATTTGAAGTCTTGTCTTTCAACCAAACAACAGAAAGTGTATTTTACCCCATTAGACAGCTGTTTTAACTTTTAATATATAAAGACAATGTGGATTTTTCCAACTTTATAAGTAAAATCAATAATCCAAGAAGATTCAGAGCATGAATCCTGTGTTTAAGGACCCTTCAGATGACCATATACCTTGGAAAATAGGGAGAGGCATGCACCCTACTTGAGACTCTGCACTTGCTAGTAATACATTTTGGGCTTTAAATTTAGAAAATTGAGATTTTGGTGAAGAGAAACATTTTATTTTATATATGTTTTAACATGCACTTTCCTATGAATTAAAGTACTGTATATCGAGAAAATAAAAAGCATTAATGCACATTTTCAAGCCCTTTCAAGAGGAAAATATAACAAAACCTATTCTAAGAGGTTAATATCTCCAGTGATTTTGATAATTAATGTAAACTTATTTATATTCAGGCTTCATCAGGCCCTCATGCAGTCAAATTAAAGATTTTAGCCTTAACCATCCACCCTTCAGCCGTTAATTAATTTACTTGGTAAACATGTCTTGAACACTGGTTGTGCTAGATACTCAAACACTTAAATACAAAGGTAGATAAGACCCCTGCTTTCAAGAAGTTTACAGTTTAATTGTTAAAATATGGTTAATTTTCTGATTGCCAGAAGGAACTATACTCACTATAATAGAATTTACATAAAGAGCCTTATACCAACAAATCCAATATACCAACTATTACTTTCCTATTACTTGATTTATATTTGGTTTTCTTTATTTAGCATATTATAAAGAAGTCAGTTTTTAAGTTGCAGCAATGTGAAGATGATAATATACAATAACACAGTAGTGTTATATATTTATAGATTAATGAACGATATTAAAAATTCAGACCATTTATTCTAAGAAAGAGCTAAAAATTAATCTCTTAGGCAGTTCACCAGAATCACATTACTTCTGTTCTCCAGTGAATGTAATTATTTGAACATATTTTTTAAAAGGCCATACATCTTCCAAGAACTTGGAACTCCATGAGTTGGAGAAAAAAAAGTATAAGAAAACCTGTTTCATTTGATTTGTGCTTTATACTGTACTTAGCATAATTAGCTTACTGGAGAAAAGGAATTCAATTGATAAAAAGTAATAACTGCAATGGTGAGTCTTCTTGAGGGCCATAGGTTCTCAGCTTGTCAGTTAACAAACCCTGTACAACCTTGGAGCCTCTTGTGTTGACGGTATGTGAACTTCCTTGGGATATTAGTTAATCCACTTAGGATCGTCTCATTCAGGGAGATGCACCCCAGAATGGCTTCTTATTACTGTTTTGTGCAGTTCAACAAACGAAATATCAAAATGTAGATTCTAGATCTCATTTCATATTAGGTAAATCCTGGGGTATGTCAAGATGAAAGTGCTTTGAGTACATTTCATATTTAATGGCAACTGCGATTTCTCCAGTGAGCTGACCTAGCAGTGCATGTATGGAACAAAATTCACCTAGCATCTAGACTCAGCCAAAGATAAGTGCATGCTATCTTCTGAGTCATGGTTTCAACAAAATCCTATTATCTGATTATTCAACTAAGCCAAGCTAAACTACAAGATTAGCATCATATCAAAGATATGAAACGGAATTGTACCAGAGTTTAGCAATGAAAAATACCAAGCAAGAAAAAGTGGGCCATGTTTTTTTCAAGAATACAGATTTCATCCCAGTTTGTCCCATATTGCTCTAATCTGAAGAGAGAGATTCTGTTATTTATAACATTTTGACAAACCACTAAAATAACCTTTGAAAATGGGATGGCATGTGCCTTTAAAAGCTGACGGAGACAGTCCCTAAAAATAGTTTACCAAGCAACAGAGTCAAATTGTTAGGGAATTGCTCTTTAATGCATTAGAGAGTCTATTCCTATGGCACTTAAGCTAGCCAAAGTAATAAATATAAAATGGTAATTTTTCTCCATGAGCTGTTCTTGCTGCTCCCATATGATTTCTTTCCCACCCAGGAGTAATATAACACTGCCTGCTAGCAGGCTTCTGAATTCATGGAAGAATGTGCTTCTGCTACTTGGTTAAATGTACTCAAAAGAACTTAGCAATTACAACTAATCCCTCTGTTGCCCGGCACTGCCTGTCTCTATTTCCAGAGTGTGAGTGTCAATGGGGTGTTTCAAGCGCAAGGAAATTTTCAGCCCCAACAATAGAGTGGTTGAATACCCTTTTGTAACAGGCTCCTTGTCTTCCCTTTCCTTCCCCCACTTTCCTGGAAAATGCTGATCAAAGAAGAATTTCTGTCAGTCCTACTAATTTAAATAGCAATAAAATCACTTTTAAGGAGAAACACCAATTTCCAAAATTAAGTCATACATGGAAAACAGTTTATCAGAGATAAAAGATGAATTCACATGGATAAAACTATTAAAGAAGGTTACAAAATTAACACAAGTGGGACATTATAAAACTGGAGTCACTGTACCTTGTTGCTGATGGATGATTTTCTAGACACTCTAAAGAGCCATTATTTAATGCAAACAGGTAGTACTGACTGCTTTGTTTTTCTAATAGTGAAACACTGGTGTAGGTCATTGACATTTTATACAATTGAAATTATCACAGTCCCAGAATTTGAAAATTTGAATTTTCCTACCATCTTTTATTCCCTGGCAGTTCTAAATGTATTCTTTATTAACCACCTATGTGCATGTTGCTAGGTAACATGATGAGAAAATATAGTCAGATGCTGATAATCTAAAAAAGGTAAAAAAATGGCTATATATATTAATATAAATATAATTAATATATAAATTAATGCAAATTTCTTTTTTGTTTGTTCCCTAGTTTCTGGAGAGGGTACTCTCAAAGAAAATGGTCTACTTCTAGTTAGGATTAATAAAGCTAGAAAGTGTCCACTTAAAAACAACAAAAATGGCTAGAAAAAAAAAAAAACTTTTCTTGAGCCTCAAAGAGAGCCACGGTTGCAGGGCTCCCAAGGAAATCCAAGGCAAGCCAGGCCTCCCCAAGGACATGTGAGGGAAGCATTTACTTACCTGCAGTAGCCATGAGAGTAATTGATGCCAGCTGCCATGCAGTGGTGTATTAGCCCTTTCTCACACTGTTATAAAGAACTGCTCGAGACTGAGTAATTTATAAAGGAAAGAGGTTTAATTGACTCACAGTTCCACATGGCTGGGGAAGCCTCAGGAAATTTACAATCATGGCAGAAGGAGAGGCAAACACATGGTTCTTCTTCACATGGTAGCAGGAGAGAGAAGTGCAGAGTGAATGGGGGAAAAGCTCCTTATAAAATCCCCATACCTCATGAGAACTCACTATCATAAGAACAACATGGGGGAACTGGCCCCATGATCCAATCACCTCCCACAAGGTCCCTCCCCCAACACGTGGGTATTACAATTTGGATTACAATTCAAGATGAGATTTAGGTGGGGACACAGAGCCAGACCACATCATTCCACCATGGCCCCTCCCAAATCTCATCTTTCTCACATTTCAAAACACAGCTATGCCTCACCAACAGTTCTACAATTTCAGCATTAACCCAAAAGTCCAAGTCCATAATTTCATCTGAGACAAGACAATATGAGCTTGTAAAATCAAAAGCAAGTTAGTTACTCCCAAGATACAATTGGGTAAGGGTATTGGATAAATGCACCCGTTCCAATGGGAGAAATTGGCCAAACCAAAGGGGTTACAGGCCACATGCATGCAAGTCCAAAATCTAGCAAGGGAGTCATTAAATATTAAAGTTCTGAAATAATCTCCTCTGACTCCATGTCTTACATCTGGGACATGCTGATGCAAGTGGTGGGCTCCCACAGTCTTGGGCACCTCTGCTCCTGTGGCTTTGCAGACTACAGCCCCACTCCCAGCTGCTTTCATGGGATGGCATTGACTGTCTGTGGCTTTTCCATATACCTGGTACAGGCTGTCGGTGAATCTATCATTTTGGGGTCTGGAGGACAGTGGTCCTCTTCTCACAGCTCCACTAGGCAGTGCTTCAGTGGGGACTCTGTGTGGGGGCTCCAACCCCACATTTCCCTTCTGCACTGCCCTAGCAGAGGCTCTCCATGAGGGCTCCACCTCTGCAGCAAACTTCTGCCTGAATATCCAGGCATTTCCATGCATCCTCTGAAACCTAGACAGTGGTTCCCAAATGTGAATTATTGACTTCTGTGCACCTACAGGCCCAGCACCACCTGGAAGCTGCCAAGGCTTGGGGCTTGCACCATCTGAAACAACAGCCTGAGATGTACATTATCCCCTTTTATCCATGGCTGGGATGCAGGGCACCAAGTCCTGAGGCAGCATAAAACAGCAAGGCCCTAGGCCTGGCACACAAAATCATTTTTTCCTCCTAGGCCTCCAGACCTGTGATGGGAGGTGCTGCCATGAAGACCTTTGACATGCTCTGGAGACATTTTTTCCCATTGTCTTGGTGATTAACATTCGGCTCCTTGTTACACAAATTTCTGCAGCTGGCTTGAATTTTTCCCCAGAAAATGGGTTTTTCTTTTCCATCACATTGTCAGGTTGCAAATTTCCAAACTTTATGCTCTGCTTCCCTTTTAAAAATAAGTTCCAATTTCAGATCATCTCTCTCAAGATGAAAGTTCCACAGGTCTCTAGGGCAGGGGAAAAATGCCACCAGTCTGTTTGTTAAAGCACAGCAAGATTGACCTTGGCTCCATTTGCCAATAAGTTCCTCATCTTCATCTGAGACCACCTCAACCTGGACTTCATTGTCCATATCACTATCAGCATTTTGGTCAAAACCACTCAATGAGTCTCTGGGAAGTTCCAAACTTTCCTATATCTTCTTGTCTTTTTCTGAGCCCTCCAAACTATTCCAATCTCTGCCTGTTACCCAGCTCCAAAGTCACTTCCACATTTTGGGGCATCTTTATAATAGTGCTCCATTCCCAGTACCAATATACTGTATTAGTCCATTCTTGCACTACTACTACGAACTGCCTGAGACTGGATAATTTATAAAGGAAAGAGGTTTAATTGACACAGTTCTGCATGGTTGGGAAGGCCTCAGGAAACTCACAATCATGGCAGAAGGAGAAGCAAATGCATGGTCCTTCTTCACATGGTGGCAGGAGAGAAAAAGTGCAGTGCAAATGGGAGGAAGCTCCCTATAAAACCATCATATCTCACGAGAAAAACCTACTCCCATTCTCTAGAACCCAGTTAATTGGGCTTACCTAGGACTGGGTAAGGAAAAAGAAAACAGAGACTTTCCCTTCCCTCACCCCTAGTAAGCACTAAGTAACAAGACAAAGAAGCCTAACACTGGGACAAGCCAAAGCCTAGAGCACCATCCTCTGTGTGGCATAAATGCATCACAAAAAACAAGGGTGAATGGTACAAGAACAAAAACTTCTTGACCAGGTAACTTCATTGATGGATTCTACCTAATATTTAAGAAAAAAAAATGTCAATTCTACAAAAACTGTTATGGGAAATAGAGCAAATACTTCCCAATGTATTTTATGAGGTCAGCATTATTCTTATCCCCAAAGCCTACAAAGAGTTTATAAGAAAAGAAAATTACACACCAGTATCCCTCATAAACATGGACACAAAAATCTTCCACCAAATAATAGCAAATAATGCGTAAAGCCCAACAGTATATGAAAAAGATAATACATGATGATAAAGTAGGTTTTGTCATGTGAATGCAAGTTTTGTTTCACATTTGCCAAAATTCAAAGTAATTCATCATGTCAACAATCTAAAAAACAAACAAATATATGATCATTGTAATAGCTGCAGAGAAAGCATTTGACAAAGTTCAACATCCATTCATGCTAAAAGCTCTAAGCAAACTAGAAATTAATGGCAATTCTCTCAACCTGAAAAAGGACATACATCAATTAAGGCCTACCACTAACATCATACTTTTAATTATAGAAGACTGTATTACTTCCCTTAGATCAGGAATAAGGCAAAACAATTCAGCTCATCACTCCTACTAAATATTGTACTGGAGATCCTAGCTAGTGCAATAAATCAAAGAAAGAGGTGGAAGGGAGAGAAAGGCAGATTAGATAGGAAGAGATAAAATTGTCTTTATTTGAAGGAAGTCTATGAAAAATATCACAAAGGGTGATCAAACATATTACAAAAGCTTATAATTTACCATAGCAAATTTATGGGTACAAGTTCAATATACAGAATCAAAAACCTTCAAATATATTAGCAATGAGCCATTAGGAATTAAAATTTAAAAGCTTCATTTATTATAGCATCAAAAACATGAAGTACTTTTGTATAAATCAAATATATGGAAGATCCATATGTTGAAAACTACAAAACATTATTGATATAATTCAAAGATGGCTTAACTATCGAGATATAACATGTTCATGGATTGCAAAATTTAATATTGTTAATGAAAATTCACCCCAATTGACCTATAGAATTTATATCAAAATTATAGTAATTGTATATAAATAAATTGACTAAATGTTATGAAAATGCATATAGAAATAAATAAGAACTAAAATGATGAAATGATTCTGAATAAAAACAGTGAAACTGGAGAGCTCACACTCTCTGATTTCAAGATGAACAATAAAGCTAAAATAATAAAGCTAGATACTAGAGAAAGAATATGCATATATGTAAATGAAATATAATAGATAGTATAGATACAGATCCACACATATTCAGTGAATGAATTTCAGCAAAATTACTATAGCAATTCAATTGAGAAATTATAGTCTTTTGACAAATGGTGCTGGAACATCCAGAAGCAAACATGCCTTCAATCCATATCTTGCATCATATGCAAAAATTAACTGAAAAGGATCATAGAGCTGAATGTAAAAATCCAAAACTATAAAACTTCTAGAAGTGAAAATATAGAAACAATTATTTTAACTTGACTAGAAAATAGTTTCTTAAATATAAAACAGAAAAAAGAATCGATAGGTAAGTAAGATAGGGCAAATTAAAACCTCAGTGAATGCCCAAGATAATTATTAAACCATTAATCAAAGAGAAAGATAGTAATGAAAGTCAGGATCTTCAGTAATGTTGAGATCATGAACCATGTGATATGATGTAATGTGAAGAACAAATCCTTCCTTTTGTATTATTGAAAAAGTATATAACCTAAGTCCAATCACTACAAAAATCTGACAAACTCCAGCTGAGAGTCATTAGAAAAAATTAGCTGATCAATACTCTTCAAAAGTGTCAATGTCATGAAAGAGAATGATGGAGGAATGATCACAGACTGCTGGAGACTAAGAAGAAATACCAAGTAAATGCAATGCGGTATTTTGAGTAGAATTCTGGAACAGGAAAAGGACATTAGTGGAAAAATTGGTCCCATTCAAATAACGCCTTACAATTAGTTACAGCATTGTACCAATGTTAATTTTCTGGTTTTGATCATTGTACTGTGCTTACATAAGATGTTAGCATTACAGAAAGCTGGATGAGAGTTATGCCATTTTGGGGATGTTTCTATAAAATATTCAAATTAAAAAGCTTAAAAATGACAATAAAAGAAGGCAAATACTAAGTAGAATAAAAATTGATGAGGCCGGGCGTGGTGGCTCACGCCTGTAATCCCAGCACTTTGGGAGGCCAAGGTGGGCAGATCATGAGGTCAGGAGATCAAGACCATCCTGGCTAACATGGTGAAACCTCGTCTCTACTAAAAATACCAAAAATTAGCCAGGCATGGTGGTGGGCGCCTGTAGTCCCAGCTACTCGAGAGGCTGAGGCAGGAGAATGGCGTGAACCCAGGAGGCAGAGCTTGCAGTGAGCCGAGACTGCGCCACTGCACTCCAGCCTGGGTGACAGAACGAGACTCTGTCTCAAAATAAATAAATAAATAAATAAATAATTGATGAAATATTGTCATGCATAGACAATGAAATTGAAAAGTTATACTTTGTTTCAAAAAAGCAAAATCCTCAATGAGATACCATTACACTAAATACCAATGAAACTAGAGAACAAAAAGAGAACTCCATATAGAGTACTCAATATATAGTTACATAGTAACTATATGTAATGTCAATAGTAACTATATATTTCCTGTTGTATTATTGACAAAAATGCATAACCTAAATCCAATCACTACAAAAATTAGAAAAATTCCAATTGAGGCTCATTAGAAAAAAAAAAAGCTGATCAATACTCGTCAAAAGTGTCAATGTCATGAAAGAGAAAGAATGATGTAGGAATGATCACAGACTGCTGGAGACTAAGAAGAAATACCAAGGAAATGCAATGTGGGATTAAGTTATACATTTTTGTCTATAATACAACAGTATAGTTACTATTGACATTAATATGCAGCAATTCTCATACATTGTTGGTGAATATACAAAATATCAAGGTACCTTGGAAAATAGTTTGGCAGTTTCTTACAAAGGTAAACATAAACTTCTCAGGCCACCTAACAATCCCAAACCTAAGTATTTACCCCAAAGAAATGAAAAAATATATTCATACAAAAACTTTTACATGGATGTTTACAGTGGCTCTATTCATAATCACCCCAAATTGGAAGCAACACAAATGTTCTTGTCCTGATGAATGGACAACCACTCAAACAATGGAACACCACCTAACAATCAAAAGAAGCACACTACTGATTCATACCACACAGCTGGGTATCAAATGTGTTACACTTTATGAAGCCAGATTCAAAATGTTCCATACTGTGTGATTCTATTTATACTGTAATCTAGAAAAGGCAAAACTATAGGGACAGATGTGTCAGAAAACAAATTAATGATGACTTTGGACTTAGGATGGGGCAGGTGTTGACTCCAAAAGGGCTCAATGAACTCTTCAGGAAGTGGAAATTTCTATATCTGATTGTGTAAGTGGTTACATGACTGTACGTTTTTGAAAACTCATAGAACTGTGCACTAAAAGGGATACATAAATTACAACATAAAATTTTTGTCTCAAAACCCCCAAGTTTTTAAAAAAGTAAATATCTTATGTTTTCCTAGAGATGTTGAAAGAGAAGCTCAGAGTCCAGAGAATGGTGCTTCAGACCTAAGGGGTAAGGACAAGCTACCCAAGGCCTTTGAAGGGGCCCTTGCAGGGTGTGTATGGTTTGGGCAGCTGGCAAGAAAAGAGGAAAGCTGAGCAGCTAAATCTTGTCAAAAAATTCTACCATGTGCTTACAAAATATTTGATATTTTAACATGCAGCAATTCTCATACATTTATGGTGTATTAAGTAAGATCAGGAAGACCTGTGTTAAAATTCATGACTCGACATAGAACTAGTTGTACAATCTTCAGAAATTCATTTAACTTTCTCAGTCTCTAATTTTCTTATATAAAATGGCTGTAATAATAGTATCTGTTACAGACTGAATTATGTCTTCCCCCAGATTTATATGGTGAAGCCCTCACCCACAAACGTGGCTGCAATTGGAGATAAGGCCTTAAAAAGGCCTCATTGATATACAATGAGATCTCATTGAAATCATATGATCTCAATGAGATCATATAAAAAGACCTCATCGATATAAAACGAGATCTAAAGATGAGGCCTTATTCCAATCTGAGTGGTGTCCTTATAAGAAGAGGTGGTGACACCAGGGATATGATTCCATGTATGAAAGACCGTGTGAGGACCAGAGGGAAGGCGGCCCTCAGAAGCCTAGGGGAAAGGTCTCAGGAGAAACCAAACTTGCCAACACCTTGATCTTGGACTTCCAACTTCTAATACTCTAAAAAAAGTATTTCTGCTGTTTAAACAGCCCAGTCTGTAGTATTTTGTTATGGCAGTCCCAGAAGACTAATATAGTGTCTTTACAATGTTATTCTGAGAATTCTTGAGTTAATATCTATAAGGCCTGAAACCCAGTAAGTGCTATAAAAGATTACCTAATCTTAGTAGTAGGAACAGTATTATTGAGTTAGTTGTTGATACTGTAGTTTAGGAATGTAGCTTTGGATTAGATCACTGAAGACCTTAAATAACATACTAGAATTTATAATACATTCAGGGGCAAGTGCAGAATTTATTGAAAACCTGTAAGCTGAGGGGTGACATCATCAGAGCTATACTTCAGAAAAAAATAGTTATTCAGGAAGTTATAATGTGAAAAGACTGGCACCTAGGGAAACCAGTTTGAGAATCTAAGTGATAAATGACAAGGAAGTAGACCTGGGATGAAAAGGAAGAGCGTGTTTCACTTAGCACCCACAAAACATGGCATCCGAATCCCAGCCACAGAGGAAATGGACACATTATAACCACCGCGGTGTTTTCAAGACTGGTTGATAGGATTTGGGATGGGAATAAAAGCCTCTAAGAAGAAATAAGGATCCCCTGGGGAAGAAGAGGCTGGAGTAATGGGGAAGAAAATGTTCTCAATTACAGATATAGTAAACTGCAACTTGTGCTTGGATTGATTGATTGATTGGTTAGTAAACTGAAAATAGTACCCTGCCTTCTTAGGCCAAAGAGTTACTTTGAGAATCAAATGGGATTATCCATGAAATTTCTTTTTGCAAAGGATGATACAAACACTATTAAGATGTCAAAGATTAGAATTGCTTAAAGCAGAATCCTTATTGTTTGGAAAGGCACAGAAATACTAAAGGGAGGAACCCTTTCATGATGCTTTATGTTTCTCTTAACAGCAATGAGATAAAGAGGACAAATATGATGCATTCTGTGTACTGATGCCCAAAATAGAAGCTGCATCTCTAGCTTTATGACCTGACAACGTCAAGAGCTTTGAGGAGGAGAAAGCTGCATTTCCATACTTTAAACACAGAGCGTGCTGCCTGTGAAGCACTAAGGGGATGGAACTGTAGGAGTCATCATGAAATGAGTGAGCATCCCAACTCTGCGGTGGGAAACAAAGCAATGGCCTGTGTGGAGGAGCCTGGCAACCCGGAGCCAACCTCTGTGTCCCTCCTCGCTTTGCAAATCAGTTTTCCTGTTGGATGCAGGGAGAAAGACGGCTCCTTGGCAGGGAGGGGAGCAATAACTTGGACCTGGGAACCAGGCTGCTTCTGCCAAGTAAGGAGTCCTCCACCCTCCTTCCTACTAAGCAGCAGCTGCTCCGTTCAGTCCCAGAAAGCCACTTCTGCAGTGAGCATTTGAGGATAGGCACAAAATGAAAATGGCAGATTTCGTTCGAATTCTGTTAGAAGAGACGTTTTTAAAGTGCCCCTAGTGCCTAGCTGTCTTCCATCTCATAGGGATAGGGCTCTGACTCATTTCTATTTCTGCAGCTCTTTGGTCAGGAGCTCTTCCCTGGTGTGACTAGAATAGCTAAAGGTTGCACACACTTGGGGGCCTGGAGCAAGTAGAGCAGGCTGGGAGAGGAAGCCACAGCCTGGCCACTCCTTCCTAGCCACTGCTCAGGATTCCAGCACTAACCCTGCATGGTCTGTCACCCTTGTCAGGGAGCATGGCTCTGAGGGACCAGTGGAACTCTGGGTGCTATTTCAGCCTAACACACCATTTTTACCACCAGATTACTTATAGGCACTTTCCACAAAATGCAAAATATACTAATTATAATTGTTTCCTTCTCCCTCTAGGGGAAGTGCTATCTGATTGATGCTCAAGCTCCATGCTCCCAGAAAAAATCATGGGCCCTCAATGATTTACAGACTCGATAATTAATTAGACCCTTAATGGTAGAGAATCAACTGCCATTTGCTGTTAAGTTTCTTTAATGTAACCTGAGGCATTTGAATTAGAGTGCACCTATTATCTAAAGCATTTGCGTTTTCCAGATTGGTTTGGAAGGATTTCAGCCTCTCTGGCATGCTATTGGCGTTGTTTCTTGCTTTGGCACAGAAGAGAGAAAAAATATGAAGAAACTGCTTCCTAACTACTCATTTTTATCAACCTGTTTTAATGTATTCTCTAGTACTGTGGAATTGATTTGACTGATCCATTTTGCCCTTGTTTGCATTGGAAGGGTTAAATGCTTCCAAAGAATGGTAAGGATTTAGTTATACAGCAAGCATTTAAACAATTCTACTGGACAATCAATGACAATAATTGCTGATTACTTCCCTTGGCATAAATTTCACAAGTCTCTGCTTTTTCTCCTACTCTCTGCTTTCATGACTACCCTCAACTTCCTTGGATAAGAATGAGCCAGCATGGTTTATACACATATTTATTTTACAGCCATCCTTCAGCAACTTTTATTCTTATGAAATTTTTTCTCGCTGCAATCACCCAATTTCCACCAACGCACTGGCTCATCTTCATCCACACTTTGTCTTTCTATCCACTATGCCTTCTCTCACATTTAAAGTTGCTGAAAACTTCACTCTCATCTTTGACTGCATGTGCTTGACAAGCTATTTAAACTCTGGATTCTTAGTTTTCTCATCCCTAAAATGGGAAATTATGATTGTACCTCTTACAACAATGCCAGATATTACTATCACATCCTGACAGTCATTATCATCAATATTAGTAGTAGTATCATTTATCATTTTCATCAACATCATCACTAGTCAATTTACATTTATAATTCTAATCCTTCAAATATTATGGTCTTAAACTTTACCTGTCTCCTAGCTTGAATCATGAATTTATTTTAGTCAACCATTTGTCTTAAAGTGGGGGTAATATATCTTCTCTGTATATATTAAAAGTTGTTTGAGAACTAAAAATAGATAAGTTACTTCAGTTTGCCTGATACATTCTTGGATATTAGATATTATTAAATATTATTACTATTATTATTACCAAACATTTTAAAGACCTCTGTCTCTCCAGGCCACTCCATTCTTAATAGAAACCATTACAATTTCATACTCCTAAACCTTCACTTCATGGAGATCCAAACACTCTTACTCATCAACATAAATTATTATTTAAAAAAGAAAAAGAAAAAATTGGTTTTTGTGGACAACTAGCAGTCTCTGCCTCATCACAGACTTAGGAAAGGGTAGAGCAGCAAGAAAGGGTCATGGGTCCCTGAGGTCACTTTCTTTGCATGTCACCGCTGTGCAAGCCAAAAGGAGACATAGACCCATCCCCACAGCAGTAAAAATTCAACCCTTGTTAGCTTGTCTTTCTTTATTATGCCAGATAAAAGATTAAAATACATGGAGTAATTTAGAGAGGCAGATGTGGGTAATATTTTTGGATAAGACCAACTCACATTTTTTGAAAAAATATGTTTCTTAATTTTTAACTGAAAATATTGATATAACAAAAAACCATTTAAAATAACAGATTTTTGGGAAAAAATATGCACAGCCTAACAATATAAATAAATGCAGCTTATGAATAATTAAAATGTGCTTTTCCTTTTGACTTTCAGAGATTAGAATTTTCTGTTCTCTAAAATAGTAATAACATTAACATCATTGACATTCAAATGACTAGAGAAAGCTTTCTATGGATTTCATTTACAATTGAAGTAGGTCTTTATCTTCACTATTTAGAGAAAAATTACTGACAGGTATTACCCAAAAGTTCCAGATATGATTGTTTTAAGTATTGAAAGATATCAAAGTGAATTGCCCTTATCCACTACTGAATGGGTATTTTTATGGCTAATATCTACCTATGTATTGTACGGTCACAGTGATCTTACTGTGAAGGTGTGTGTGGATGTTTCTTGCATTGTATAATTAAGATAGAATGAATTTTGTACTTTCATAAAGTTTCAGGGAAAGAATAGATCTCTATCTTCTATTTCACTCTTCATTTTATTGAAGTCTGTCCACTACACCTATTTCTTTATTTACTTATTTACTTATTTATTTATTGAGACAGAGTCTCACTCTGTCACCCAGGCTGGAGTGCAGTGGCACAATCTCAGTTTACTGCAACCTCCACTTCCCAGGTTCAAGCAATTCTCATACCTCCGCCTCCCAAGTAGCTGGGATTACAGGCATGCACCACCATGATCAGCTAATTTTTGTATTTTTAGTAGAGACATGGTTTCACCATGTTGGCCAGGCTGGTCTCAAACTCCTGGCCTCAAGTAATCCACCTGCCTCGACCTCCCAAAGTGCTGGGATTACAGGCCTGAGCGCCACTTCGCCTATTTACATGGTAGCCTAAATGTCAGCTCTGCCTCTAGAAATAAAGATGGAATTCATAGATGCCCAGTTTCTGTGCCTATGGGAAGTCAATTCTATCTCCACAGCTGAGGTGTATTCCCAGCCGCTTGTCCTTCCCTGGTCACCCCTGGCTCCATACTCCATTTTTCAGAGTGCAGTTATGGATTTTCTCAAGTCTTTTGGGCATTGACCGTGTGAAACCAGCTGGAAATTGTCACTTTTCTTCACACTCGTGATGATACACACAAACAAACAAAAACTCCTGTGCAAGTACTGAGAGTAGCAGATTTATCTGAATATTTATAGGGGCAGAGGATCAGAAGTCTCACATCATAGTAAAACTAAATTGAAATTGCATATAAGACATCTTTGGTCTTAAAGCTGTTCTTTGCCTTTTTTTTTTTTTTTTTTTTTTTTAATGCCTGCACACTTTCCGGCCTCCATCACCATTCTTGGCTTTGGTGTTTCCTTTTCCTTCCTCTCTCTCCTCTCTTTTGTACCCACAACTAAATCCTTGGTCACTATTAAGGCAGAATGCTTTTATTCCCCTTTTAAATTCTCAACCTTTCCTTCTCCTCAAATTTGCAAATTGCATCCCCTAAAAAGTGAATTCATTAATTAGACAAAAACAATGGTTGCACGTTTACCTAAATATCCAGGCAACTGGAAAATAACCATAAACCCTTGATTAAGCTCACATATAATGCAGTTGCCTCTCTCTTGTTTCAAGTTGGGTAAGAGGAGGTGAAGATGGTGTGAGTCATTGTCACAGCTACAAATCTATTGAAACAATTGTGGAATGAAGAGTTACTCATGCTCTTTCATTTGCGACCTAGTTGAACGAGAGGATGGAAAGTTAATTCCTTTAGAAAATATTGATGGATCACAGATGGTTTACCAGGCACTATTCCACAGAGTGGAGATTTCTGGAGAGAAGGTGTTCAGAAAAGGAGAACATCAAGTGAAAGGAAAAGGTGTCAATGGCTGTTGTGAGATCTTAGTTCTTGTCTTCTTAGTTTAGAAGAATTTAAACAAGAGACACACAACTTAGATCCCATTTGTCATTTTTGGCTTTTGTTTCAATTGCTTTTGGCATTTTTGTCATGAAGTCTTTGCCCATGCTTATGTCCTGAATGGTATTGCCGAGGTTTTATTCTAGGCTTTTATGGTTTGGGGTTTTACATTTAAGTCTTTAATCCATCTTGAGTTAATTTTTGTACAAGATGTGAGGAAGGGATCCAGTTTCAGTTTTCTGCATATGGCCAGCCAGTTTTCCCAGCACCATTTACTGAATAGGAGATCCTTTCCCCATTGCTTGTTTTTGTCAGGTTTGTCAAAGATCACATGGTTGTAGATGTGTGGTGATATTTCTGAGGTCTCTGTTCTGCTCCGTAGGTCTATATATCTGTTTTGGTACAAGTATCATGCTATTTTGGTTACTGTAGTCTTGTAGTATAGTTTGAAGTCAGGTAGCATGATGCCTACAGCTTTGTTATTTTTGCTTAGGAATGTCTTGGCTATATGGGGTCTTCTTTGATTCCATATGAAATTTAAAATAGTTTTTTCTAATTCTGTGAAGAATGCCAATGGCAGTTTGATGGAAATAGCATTGAATCTATGAATTACTTTGGGCAGTGTGGCCATTTTCATGATATTGATTCTTCCTATCCATGAGGATGGAATGTTTTTCTGTTTGTTCGTGTTCTCTCTTACTTCCTTGAGCAGTGGTTTGTAGTTCTCCTTGAAGAGGCCCTTCACATTCCTTGTTAGCTGTATTCCTAGGTATTTTATTCTCTTTGTAGTGATTATGAATGGGAGTTCATTCATGATTTGGCTCTCTGCTTGCCTATTGTTGATGTAAAGGAATGCTTGTGATTTTTGCGTATTGATTTTGTATCCTGAGACTTTGCCGAAGTTGCTTATCAATTCAAGGAGTATTGGGGCTGAGATGATGGGGTTTTCTAAATATAAAATCCTGTCATCTGCAAACAGAGATAATTTGACTTTCTCTCTTCCTATTTTAATATCCTTTATTTCTTTCTCTTGCCTAATTGCCTTGGCCAGAACTTCCAATACTATGTTGAATAGGAGTGGTGAGAGAGGGCATCTTTGTCTTGTTCTGTTTTCCAAAGGGAATACTTCCAGGTTTTGCCCATTCAATATGATATTGGCTGTGGGTTTGTCATAAATAGCTCTTCTTATTTTGAAATATGTTCCATCAATACCTATTTTATTGACAGTTTTTAACATGAAGGGCTGATGAATTTTATTGAAGGCCTTTTCTGCACCTATTGAGGTAATCATGTGGTTTTGGTCTTTGGTTCTGTTTATGTGATGGATTATGTTTATTGATTTGTGTATGTTGAGCAAGCCTTGCATCCCAGAGATGAAGCCGACTTGATCATGTTGGATAAATTTTTTGATGTGCTTCTGGATTTGGAAAAAAGGTCAACATCACTGATCATTAGGGAAATACAAATCAAAACCACAATGAGATAGCATCTCACGCCAGTTAGAATGCTGATTATTAAAAAGTCAGGAAACAATAAATGCCAATGAGGCCGTGGAGAAATAGGAATGCTTTTACACTCTTGGTGGGAATGTAAATTAGCTCATCCAGTATAAAAGACAGTATGGTGATTTCTCAGAGATCTAGAACAAGAAACGCCATTTGATCCTGCATCCCCAATACTGGGTATATACCCAAATGAATATAAATCATTATACTATTAAGACACATGCACACGTATGTTTATCACAGCACTATTTACAATAGCAAAGACTTGGAACCAACCCAAATGCCCATCAATGATAGACTGGATAAAAAAAAAATGTGGTACGTTTGCACCATGGAATACCATGCAGCCATAAAAAGGAATGAAATCACGTCCTTTGCTGGGACATGGAGGAAGTTGGAAGCCATCATCCCCACCAAACTAACACAGGAACATTAAACCAAACACAGTAAGTTCTCACTCATAAGTGGAAGTCGAACATTGAGAACACATGGACACAGAGAGGGGAACAGCACACACCAGAACCTATTGGGGGGTGGGGGGTGAGGGAAGGGAACTTAGAGGATGGGTCAGTAGGTGCAGCAAACCACTATGGCACATGTATACCTATGTAACAAATCTGCACGTTCTGCACATGTATCCCTTTTTTTTGTTTGTTTGTTTGTTTTTGTAGAAGAAATAAAAAAACAGAGACACACAGCAAAGGAGATGCAATTTATTGCAAAAGAAAAATAATATTTTGAAAGTTAAGTACAGAATAGACAGGACACCCTAAGAAAGATTGGATTCAGGGTGGGCTACTCATAAGAATAAGACAGCAGAGAATGGCACTAGGAAGACTCCCTTTATGGGAGTCCTACATGATTATTCATAAGGGGGTGGGAAGAGGCTTTACTAGTAAGCATGTTCTGGGTGGTGCTCTGGGTGCACATGAGCAGTAGCTGTCCATGCTTGTTCATACGTCGCATGTGTCATTAGCATCTTAAATCTTCCATCTGTTTTAGAAAAAAAGTGCTTTCTAATTGTGGGGTAAAAGAGTAAGTATATCAATTACCAGCCTTGTTTATTGTCTTATTTGATTCTTTTTAAATTACTGTTATATACTGTTATATATTTTTTTACCAGCTTGATTTATCATTTTGATATGAATATGATAAATTCTCTAAAATTATGATCTGGATTTGTCAATTTTACTTATAATTTTGATTTTAGAATTAGTCTTTCTTGCTAGGCTCAACAGGCCTGCAATTTTTATGTCTTCCCAGTAAATTGTTCCTTTCATTAAGTGATCATTTTACTTAATACTGGTTTGGGCCTGAATACTTTAATAATTTAAATATTACTCTACCGGTGTTCTTTTTGCTTTTATTTGTCTGTGTTTTCTATCATTTAGTTACTTTCAAACTTTTAAACCATTAGGTTTTGTGGTGTCTGTCTGTGTGTTTTAATAACCAACTTATGACTAAGTATATTTCTTGCTGAAAATATAATAGATTTTGTGAATTTTCAACTTCACTAGATAAAGCCAAATTGTTCTCCAAAGTATTTAAATAAATTTCTATCTTTTGCAGCAGTGTATTAATATGCCTCTTGGTTTACAATCTGAACAATATTTGTAATCTGTAGTTTTTTTAATTTTTATGTTATCATGTGGGTGAAACATGCTGTGTCTTTATAATTCAATTTGAATTGTTTTATTACAAATAGACTTTGCCATATTTTCACATATATATTCACCAATGATACACTCTCCGATGTGACATGCCTGTTAACCTTTTTTGCCTATTTCTCAAATTGGTTACTTTGTTTTTATTTGCTTATTAAATTACTAATATGTAGGAGTTTTTTATATATACAAGGTCCAAATCCTTGTTGAATTATCGATGGCAAATATATCTTCCCTGTTTTTGGACTTTATCCACCTTTTAAAAGTATCTTTTAATAAAGGGAAGTTCTTAATTTTATGGCAGTCATGCTATTACTCTTACGGTTTCTTCATTGTGCATTACACAACAAATCCCTCCCTGCCCGTAAATAAATAAGATATTCATTATTCTTTTTAACAGAATGTTTACTTTTCATATTTAAATTTTAATTTAATCAGAAGTATTTGTGCTTGGTATTGTAGGAATTCAATGTAACTTTTTTCCCCAATACAGATAACCCATGTTTTCAGCATTATTTGCTGCTTCTTGTTCCAGTGATGCATGATACATAGTGCCAGCTCTGTTCATATGTCATATATATGTGCATGCACAGTTGTATATATATGCTATCCGATATGGTATTTTATATATATAATATTTTTATACTATCTTCTGCATTTTTATGAGTTTGTGCTGGCAGAGTTTAGGGACAGAACGTTAGCTAAGTGAGCTAAGTACATCATGTTGCTGGAAGTCTCAATAAAGTGCTGGAGATAGGAGCACATTTTCAAAACTTGATAATGAATATTTGTTTGAAATCAACAGCCCTCCTCATACGTGATGGTGGCCTTACCACTAAAATAAGATGCAAGACATATTTGCCTACAGCCAGTACTATTTTTGATTTTGCTACATTTCTTTATCTCTTTGAATGCAATTATAATTCACTTAGTGTGTTTTAATTAAAGAAGTCCTCAACCTTGACGGGCATAGGTTCTAGATTGATATGTGCCCTACTACTTTTACTACATTTTTTTCACACTCTTCATTGTTTTGTAGTAGCTTTTTCAAAGAATTGAAGAAAAACTATGGTAAAAAACATATGGGGTCAGGAAAGAGACACCGTTTTACTCTTATTCTGAGTGAATAGAGAGTGACGTAAATGTGTGCATCAGGAGACCAGATTTGGGATCCCATGTCCCCAGAGCTCACAGCCTGCAGAGGCATTTCCTCATTCATGCATATGAGCTCTGGATCCATTTCAAAGGAACAAACATTACTCTGGATCAAGTCACTTAGATGGGTTTGCAAACAATCCAGATTTTCTACTCACATGACCCTCTACAAAATGAGCAAACTAGGAGTTGAGAGTCCTGGGCTTTGTGTGTGCCTCTGCCATTCATAAAGTGGCAGAGCCCTACAGCAAGTCACTCAGCAATTTAGATCCCATTCTTCATCCCTCCTATAGATCAGTTTCCAGCTGGAATCATTCCACTTCAGCCAGAAGGACAGCCTTGAGCATTTCTTGTAGTGCACATCTGCTATCAAGGAAACTGCTTAGCTTTCATTTATCTAAAAATGTATTTTTTCCACCCGCATTTTTGAAGGATATTGTCACCGGACATAGAATTCTGGGATGGTTGTTGCTATTGTTCCTTGTACTCTACAGCTCTCATTGATAGCACCATTTCCCTAGATGGAGTGTCTCCTTTTTATGTTTCTAGTTTCAAATTTTCTGTCTTTGGTTTCCAGCAGTTTGAGTATAAAGTACCAGGTGGTTTTGTCTCTTCCCTGCTTTGGGTTAAGTTTTTGGAAATCTAGGTAGATTTTTTTAAATCAATTTTTGGAACTGTTTGTTATATCTTTAATAAATTATGTTCCATTCTCACCATCTTCTGGAACTTGAATTGCACATACATTGGAATTGTTTCATATTGTCTCACAAATCTCTGATGCTTTATTCATTTTTCATTATTATTTTTTGTCTTTTAATTAAAACTATTTTATGGATCTGTCCAAAATCAATGATTCTTTTTTTCAGTCATATCCAGTCTGGTGTTAAGCCTATGCAGTGATTTTATTACAGTTACTAAACTTTTTGGTTCTAGGTTTGCCATTTGATTCTTTATAAAATTTTCATTTCTCTGAAGAGATTCCCCATTCACTTCTTAAGACCACATGATACTTTAATTTTCTGAATATATGTATAATAGTTGTTTTACATCTTTGCCTAATAAATCTAACATCTAGGTCAATCCATGCATGCTTTTTATTTTTTTCTCTGATTTTATTTTATTCTCTTATTCTACATTTAAAATTTCTATATATATATATTTTTTTGCTGTACATTGTGAATGACATTTTAAAGACCTTGGAATTTGTTATCTTGTTATCTTCCTCTGAAGAGTGTAGAATTTTTGTTTTTGTAGGCAGTTAAATTACTAACACAACATCTTGAACTTGTGAAGACTTCCTTTTATACTTTGTTAAGAAGAATCATCTGAGGAAACCCCAAGATATTCCCAAACGTGTTTAGATTAATTTCTCCACCTCCTCCCTTTCTCCTCCCTCTGAGTCTTTAAGCTTTGTCACGATGAGTTGAGAGCAGGCATTGCTGTAGAATGTGGTTCTTACTCGGGAATCATGGCCTCTGTGGAATCTTGGCTGAATCCCTCTGGTGTTGATGAGGGGTTAGTGACATCTATCCATTCCGGAGAGGCCCTGTTTAAACAGTAGAATCTTTATCGTGTTCTTAGACTATAGCAGCCATGCTATGGTAGGCCTCTGGCATTTTGCCTTGCACATGTGCAACCCAGACCTCAAGGAAGAATTTGTGGGTCCCCACTGTATTCACCTCCATCTATCCAAAACCTCAACTTCTTCCTTAATCCTGTGAGAGATTGAGTTTTGCCCTGACTCCCTCTCATGGTACTATGTTTGGGAAAGGGTCCTCAGGCAAGACTGGGGTAATTTTGAAGCTCCCCATGAGAACTTTCCTTTTTTTCCAGGGATTTCTCTTTTGCACTGTTTCCATTCAATGATGGAAACAGGTGCAACATATACTGTATACAACTACATTGTTATTTATGGTGAGAGAGCTAGTATCTCACTAGCCATCTTATCCATTATTTAAAATATTCCCATCTGGCCAGGCATGGTGGCTCACGCCTGTAATCCCAGCAGTTTGGGAGGCTGAGGTGTGCGGATCACCTGAGGTCGGGAGTTCAAGACCAGCCTGATCAAAATGGAGAAACCCCATCTCTACTAAAAGTATAAAAAATTAGTCAGGCGTGGTGGTGTATGCCTGTAATCCCAGCTACTCAGGAGGCTAAGGCAGGAGAATCGCTTGAACCCGGGAGGCAGAGGTTGTGGTGAGCTGAGATTGCACCATTGCACTCCAGCCTGGGCAACAAGAGTGAAACTCCATCTCAAAAAAAAAAATTTCCCATCTTAACTATTATTTAAAATATTCTATAAGCTTGATTTATTTCAACAAGATGGCAAGCAGTAGTAAGAAGAATGACTGTTATAAAGGAGTTCATTAAAATATCATCAATTTTGAATAGTAAGATTGTTTTATTGTTTTGCACATAAATCAAAGACAAGTCTACTAAAATAATAATAGACTATTTAGTGGACTGATTACAAAATCAATACTTTTCCCATATTTGAGGAAAGAACATATGGAAATAAAATAATAATAAACACAAGCCCTCCACAGTCATAATGGGAAGTCTAAAATAAACAACCATAAAATCCAAGCCAGTCTGGAAAATTTATTTGCAAAAATGACGTATTGAGAGAAAATAAGAAAAATATTTGAGAAAAGTTGAATACAGCAATCAATATTCTCACCTAAGTATATTCTCCTTGGCCATACCCACCATATCTGAGTTTCTTTCTATAGCTATTTCCATACTCTTGTATATATCCACCTATGAATTTACATAAATGTACCAAATATTATATACAAATTAACAGTGCTTTATTCTCCCAACAGTATTTACCAGAAATCTTTTATGTCAGTAAGTTTTGACTCAAATCACCTCATAAATGGTGGCATAGGACTTCAATGCCTTAGATATACAATAACTTATTTAACTGAGCCTCATTCATAACTGTTTTGATAGTTTGCAATTTTTTAACATAAAGAGAAAACTCAGGGATGCAAGGATGGTAGTCCATAGAATTGTTTACCAGAAATATTCGGATTCTCCCTCATTCTAAGCACAGGGTAGAATTCCACTGCCTGGACCTACTGGTCAGGTAGATACGTGAGTCGTTAATAGAAGTGTCATTGGTCACCTCAGGGCTACAACACTAATTGCCACCTTGCATCCCTCTAGAGTGATCTTTTTTCTTCCACGATGACCACCACATTTGAGATTAGGGTCTTGGAGCAAGGCGGTATGAAGCAGAGACCCCAGCCTACCTGCAGTGCTCACGCAGCAGCAACTACAAATAAATTTTGTCATTTTGAAGATGCTAAGTGTTCATTGTCTGTTCCTGCAGCATTGTGTATTCAACTGGATCTATTCCAAATGATTAAAACATCGATTTCTATATTTGTTCATTAGGCCAAATGTCTCTTGAGAATAAATGCCTGAAATGGTATCCTGAATCAGAAGATATATTCATTTTATATTTTATACATGTTGCAAAATTCTCTATTTACAAGTAGGCACAATAAAAGATATTTTATGTTTAAGTATTAGTATTAGAAGACACCCAAAGAGAGAATTCTTAGAAAATGAATCATTCTTATAAGGGCTGATTTAAACATGGAGGAATTGGTGTTTTAAGTCATTAATTTTTGGAGACGATGTGATGTGATATTCAAGGAATGCTCTGGTTGGTAGTTCCATGAAACAAATAGAGGGCCATAGGTCCTAATGAATGGGTGGAAAATGACTCACTTAAAGGTTGTTTCATGTTGGGAAAATGTCATAAATTACATTAAACAAAGGTTACTCACTATTGATGGAGAGGTGCTTCAGAGGTATTACCTGAAACACAAATGCAAACCAATGGCATCTCAACAGCAAGCAGATGACACCAAGGGCTCTTTTCAAAAGTCCTATCACATCATCACTTCGTTTTTTGTCTGCAACTGCTATTAAAGGGAATCTTCATGGGAAGTGATTTTTGTCATACCATTACCTGAAGATCAATAAGGATTTTCTTACAGTTAAGAACTATGTATTTATTAATGTGTGATATCTATTTTTTTCTATTTTAAATAAATGCATACATTTTATATTCTAAAATTGGGAAGAAAAATAAAAGCAGTATTCATTCTATTTTTATTGTTAAATGTGCAATATTTATTATTTTTCTCATGAATAGGTAATATATTACTATTGCAAAGTTTATTTTTCAATTAAGTAAACTGATGAACTATCAGGAACAACACTTTGGATACCCCCTTGAAGAGTCTGATTCCTCTGCAAAGCCTGAATGTGCCAGTGCCAGAAACAGACTCCCCAGACTCTCCTGAAGCCAGGACCTTCACCTATTACCAAATTCTGACCATTGGGACCTGCAAGGGAATACTCTGGAGGCCTCTGGAAGGTTTCCCTGATAAAAAATACATGCCTCTGGATGTATATTTGGCTGTCATTGATGCCTGGAACTCAAAGAACAAGCAACAGGATCAGTCTATTAAATTAAGGTCATCACAGCAGAAACGTGCAAAGAGCCTGAGTTCTCAATATCACAACTGAGCCTTTGGAACAACTCTGAAATTGCGGACTTGGGGTCTTCTTATGGTTTGAAATAATAAGTGCCTTTATTGTTTAAACTACTCTTAGTTGGGTTCTCTGTCATTGAATACCTAAAGAATCTTAACTGATAAATTCACCACTCTGCGTTTTGTCTGTTTTATCTTTAACAATCTGGCAATCGATCTAATTTACCTCATTGTTGTTTCAATTTGTAATACCCAAATTTATTTAAATAATATTTAAATGTAGCATTTACTTCAGTATATACATAAATTCATTCCTTGTTCTTGTGTGTTTCTTTTTTATAATAATATATTTTTATACTTAAATCTGTAATCCAAAAAGAATCAAGAGAAAGAGGAAAGAAAGAAAGAGGAAAGAAAGAAGAAAGAAAAAGAAAGAAAGGAATGAAGGAAGGAAGGAAGGAAGGAAGAAAGGAAAAGAAACAGTACAATTTCCCTGTTGTCTCCAAATAGCTTGCCAATTAAGAAAGAAAGAAAAGAAAAGAAAAAGTACAATTTCCCTGTTGTCTCCAAATAGCTTGCCAATTGCCACAACACATGTCATAAATATAATTCATCATTTCCATACTTATTTGAATTTTTTTCATATCATATTACAAGATTCCTACATATGCTTGAGTGTATTTCTGTGTTTTTCAGAGTTTTCACTACTCTGATTTATGGATATATATTTTCATTAAAGTTTCTACAGTATACAGATTTAATTATTGTGTTTTATATTACAGGATTAGGTAAGATGGCAGATGAAATATATGCATAAAGAAATAATACATATATATGATTTATGATTATCTTTAATAAAATATGTATTTAATATAAAATACATATTTTCTTATTAATCCTAGTAAGTAATGTAAAAATCAAAGGGAGAAAGGAAAAAGAAATTCACAAGAAAATTGAAAAACCCAAAAAGAGAATCATTAGCTATGGTGTGCTGAATGGTGCCTCCCAAAGGCATCAGATTCTCATCCTTGCAACCTGTAGATAATACCTTACATGGTTTTTGTAAATGTGCATAAATTATGGGTCTTGAGATGAGATTATTCTGGAATATATGGGTATGCCCTAAATGTAATCTCAACGTACTTACATGAGGCTGGTGGAGGTAGATTGGACAGACACACAAAGAGAAGTTCATGTGAAGACACAGGTGGAGATTGGAGTGATGCATCCAATAGTTCAAGGAATGCCTACAGCCACCGGAAGATGGAAGAGGCAAGGAAGGGCCTTCCCCTAGAGCCTCTAGAGCAGTGGTCCCCAAACTTTTTGGCACCAAGGACCTGTTTTGGTTTCATGGAAGACAATTCTTCCACGGACTGGGGGAGGGGGATGGTTTTGGGGATGATTCAAGTGCATTACATTGATTGTGCACTTTATTTTTCTATTATTATTACACTGTAATATATAATGAAATAATTATACAGCTCACCATTATGTAGAATCAGTGGGAGCCCTGAGTTTGTTTTCCTGCACTAGACGGTCCCATTTGGGGGTGATGGGAGACAGTGACAGATCATCAGGCATTAGATTCTCATAAGGAGCGTGCAACCTAGATCCCTCGCATGCATTGTTCACAATGGAGTTTGCATTCCTATTAGAATCTAATGCTGTGGCTGATCCAAGAGGAGGCAGAGCTTAGGCGATAATGCAAGTGATGGGGAGTGGCTGTCAGTACAGATGAAGCTTCACTTTCTTGCCTGCAGCTCACCTCCTGCTGTGCCGCCCAGTTCCTAACAGCCTATGGACCAGTAACAGTTGGGGACCCCTGCTCTAGAGGGAGCATGGCCCCAATGACACCTTGTTTTGGCTCCATGAACCTGATTTTAGACTTCTGGCCTCCAGAATTGTGAGGAAATAAATTTCTGTTGTTTTAAGCCACAGAGTTCTTAATGATTTCTTACTGCAACCTTGGGAAACTGCTACATCAATGAATCAGAAACTCTGAGAAATTCTTGTAATACAGGAGCTCAAGTGTATGGATTGACAGAAAAAAGAACAGAGCTCAAAATGTCAACAGTGAACAGTTCTGGGTTGTTCTGAGTTCAGAGAACCACATCAAAATCAAGCTAAGAAAATGAGATACTCAACCTTTACCCTTTTCCCTGAATCCTTTCCCCTGGCCTGGGTCAAGCAACAGAAACAAATTGCATGAGGCCCTAGGCCCTGGATCTGAGCAGTGAGTGTGGGCATTTGGGCAGGAAGCCCAGAGACAGTGGTGCATATCCTTGGTGGCTGCCCATGCAAGGGGTCCCCATATTCAGAAACTGCCCACTGAGGCAGCATCTACACACCCACTCCCAAATCCCAATCACTGGAGCCAGGGTGGATATGATCATCAGAAACATTGCTTACCACGAAGTGAGGAAAGCCCTGATCACATAGATGTGTGCACAACCAGAAATCAATAAATATTTGAGGAAAAATGTATGAAAAAAAGAGAATCCAAGAATTCGAATAATAGAAAAAGAATAAACCATTAGAAAGCCATTATAGTATTAAAATACACTTTAATACCATAAGGCAAATTTTTCTTCATTTCTCTGTTTTTCATAATTTCCCTATTTTACTATTTAACCTTTTTCCCATTGGCCCTGAGAATACTCCCTGGCAGTGCTTGTGGCTTCAGCATTTACCCCAAGATAACTTTGCTGCAAAATAGCTCACTTTTATTATTGTTTTTGCATCGCTGTGGTATATTGACTTTGAGGGAAAAAAAAGACATTATTCTATTTATAGCATTCTGTTTTCAGTAGTAGTATTTCCATTTACAAAATATAGTAATTCTTGATTGCTGAAAATGTCAAATTCTAGAAAACATAGCATTCCTATGCGTATGTTGACAGTGTTCTTGAACAGTTGTTGGCTGAAGATTCGTTTGAATTCGATTTTTGTGAAATAGATGATTCTGCTGATTCAGATGATTCTGATGTTAGTTCTGTTTAGAAATAACTCCAAGAGCAATTTTTATATTTTATTTTCACATTGAAAATCAATCAGACGTGCTTCAACCTCAAAGAGCGTGTTTATGTAAAAACTATTAGGTTGGAGCAAAAGTAATTGTGGTATTTGCCACTAAAAGTAATGTAAAAACCACAAATACTTTTGCACCCACCTAATGCATGAGTGCTGGCAGCGAGCTGCACTCTTTTTTTCTAAACAGGATTAAAATACATTTCCAAATTATTTTGTTAAGTTACCAAAACACAATATTGAATTTTATGATCTACTGTCCTGCCCTTTTGTTTTTCTTAAATTTTCTTAATTTTTCTTTCTCAAATTACATTCAAGTTGCCATTTTCCTCTGCAGTGTGTATGTGGTGTTCAGCTGTCCATTTTCTATTTTCTCTAGAGTTATTTAGCTCTTTGCTATTCTTCCTTCTAACATGTCCCAAAGGAAATGTATGCATTTACAGTGGCATCACTCAAACTCTATGGTACCACCATACACACATCGATATAGAAACAGATGACAAAAACGGTACAAATTCACTGGCACTTATTCAGAATTATTACCTGGAAAACGTGTAACTAAAAGGCTGCTACTAATATTATTCACATTTGATGACAAATTGCATTTACTTTACAAATGAAAACATTTCAAGATTAATTACATAATACATTGAATTTAGAGTGATTCGGCTTTGATTAAATGTGGAAGATATACTTTAAAGTTAAAACATTTTTCATCTTAAAATAAACCATTCTTGGCCGGGCATGGGGGCTCACACCTGTAATCCCAGTACTTTGGCAGGCCGAGGTGGGTGGATCATGAGATTAGTAGATCGAGACCATCCTGTCCAACATGGTGAAACCCCGTCTCTACTAAAAATACAAAAATTAGCTGGGCGTGATGGTGCACACTGTAATCCCAGCTACTCAAGAGGCTGAGGCAGGAGAATTGCTTGAACCCAGCAGGCAGACATTGCAGTGAGCCGAGATCCCATCACTGCACTCCAGCCTGGGCAACAGAGCAAGAGTCCATCTCAAAAATAAATAATAAACCATTCTTTTGTAATGTAATCTATTTAACAATATTTATGGCCTTACATTTAAAAAATGTAAGAATTATTGAACTCTAGACATTTTAACTATGGAATTTATTTGGCTTAACATAGTCTAAACCTTATTTAAGTTTTTACAAAAATATTCATCTATCTGCTTATATTACTAAAAGTTTTATAAATCAATCCCATTTCTTCTATATCTTCTGTAGTGACTGCTCCCTGAGACAATAATATCATCTGGCTGAGAATTAGAAACAGGAAGAGAAAGGCAGGGGAAGGAGGAAGAAAGCATCAAGGAAGGTCAAATGGCAGATGGGAGGGTCTTCACCAGTCATCACCATCTGAAAAGAGAGAAGTAGGGATGTCTTTGCCCTCCAGAAAGACTCAGGATGAACTGGCCCTATTCTTTGCTGCTGGAAGTGGCGACGTTGAAAATAGCAAACACTCTATTTGTCTAGGACAAATAGAACTTGGTAGAAATATTTTTTCTATTTCGACATTTATTTTAGATTCAGGGGGGTGCATGTACAGGTTTGTTACGTGGATAAATTATGTGTCACTGGGAGTTGGTATACAAATGATTTTGTCACCCAGGTAGTGAGCATAGTACCTGATAATTAGTTTCTGGACCTCACCCTCTTCCCACTCTCCACTCTCAAGTAGATTCTGGTGTCTATTGTTCCCCTCTTTATGTCCATGTGTACTCAATGTTTAGCTCCCACTTATAAGTGAGAACATACAGTATTGGATTTTCTGTTGCTATTTAATTTACATAAGATAATGTATTCATGCTGCTGCCAAGGACATGATTTCATTTTTTATGGTTGCATAGTATTCCATCATATATATGTACCACATTTTCTTTATCAAATCCACCACTGATGGGCACCTAGGCTGATTACATGTCTTTGCTATTGCAAATAGTGCTGCAATAAACATATGAATGTATGTGTCTTTATGGTAGAACAACTTATATTCATTTGAGTATATAACCAGTAATGGGATTGCTGGATTGAATTGTAGTTTTAAGTTCTTTGAGAAATCTCCTAACTACTTTTCATAGTGGCTGAACTAATTTACATTTCTACTAGCAGTCTGTAAGTCTTTTTCCACAACGTTGCCAACATGTGTTGTTTTCTGACTTTTTAATAATAGCATTTTTAAAAAATATAATATTCAGGTATTCTTGGAAAAATTTATATCTGCAAACCATGATGTTGGAAATGCATTACAAAAACACAGCACAGAAGCTACACTTAGTAAAAATGTAATATAGTCAAAATTGACAAGACAGGAAGCTAGTGACAGCAGTTGAAGTTGGTCGGGGAGAAATCATGGTGAATGAGAGTGTTAGAAATAGACGAACAGTAGACAGATTTCAGAGCCTTTTTAAAGGTAGAAAGTCACGGATTTGATTTGATGATGGAACAGCATGGAGGATAAGGAAGGGAGAAACCACAGATGATCCAGTAGGCAATAATGCCAATCAACAAACATCAGCATTAATGGTATACAGTTCATAATTTTACTTTTATTTTTATTTCTGTTCCATTTATTTTGGTGTAACAAAAAAAGGTTGTAAAAATCTGTACCTACATGTCATCTTTCAGATGTCTAGAGAAAAGCTGCATGATCTAATAAGTATTTCTGAAACAACTGTTTATTTCATGATGGATAAAATAAGAACTCTATCATTTATTTGATGTAAAAATAAAGTATAACTAAATTAAAGAGTTAAATATAAAAGGTGAAAATGTAAAAGAATGAAAAGTCATTTTGTAGCATAAAGACATTGAAAAGCTGATCAAGGAGAACTTGAAAAACTAAATGTCATAAAAACTAAAGTTCTGTACAGTTAAAATGAATAAAAATGTAAAAGAAAATGCAAATTGTCAAAAATTATTTTAACGTAATTTACATATGGAGTAATATACATAAATATAAATTCAATACTAAATATATAATCTTTTTAATGGGAAAAGACAGAGGCACAAACCTATAATACAAAATAAATGTTATAATGATCAAAAATACATGAAAATATTTAACCATGTTGATAACTTTGAAAACAGGGATTAAAATTTTAATTTACCATTTACCAAAATATTTTTAATGATAATATCAAGTATATAAAAAAGTCATAGTTTTAGAGTGCCAGGGGCAGGTGGTGAATGGTACGTATTACATTTTTTGTGGAACAATTGATAATATTTATCAAAATCTTTTAATTTATTAAAGTAATAAGTCAAAATTGAAAGAATACCAAATGTATTTTAAAAGAATAACAAATCTTGAAATTTATCATGAGGAAATATTAAAATCTGTGCTAGTATTTTGCTACACTTCAGTTCATGATGATTTTCTTTAAAACTTTTACAAAATAGAAACAATAAAACATTGTAATATTGTGATATTGCTGAAATGATTTTGTTCTTATGATGAACTGAAAATAGCCATTTAAAATGCATTTGAGGGATCTATAACAAAACCAAAAGAGGTCTCATAGTTTATAGATACAGAGAAAGAATAATCTAATTTTCTGAAAAATAATTAATAGAGTATATATGTTACACAAAAATACAACATACCTCCAGTTTTAAGATGAGATGAATATAAAACAAATCGTACAATATAAAAAAGTCAAGGATGTTGGTTTTTTCTACATGCAACTAAATCTTAATTTGTAACTTTCTTGTTAATATTATATTATCTACATTTTCCAAAATAATATCAAAAATGGTGGTAGGGTTTACTTTAAACTTGATTGGTGATTGCTACAGGAAGCCTTGGTCTTTCTATTAGATATCTATTCTGAGAATTAAGATAACTTCTACCAAAGTAATATTCCCTAAAATGCCAAGAGGAAGATTGTTTTCCCATTCCTTAAAATACTTGCAAATCCCCAACATAATTTCTACGAGAAATGATCAGTAAAATATTCATCTTTCCCCTGACGTCTTAACTAACCACTGTTGGCAAGATTATAAGTATGGTATTTTGCTGTTTTTTTCTTTAAATCTAAGATTTATTATGTAATAACTCTACCTATTTGAATAAAATATAGGGTCCCAGTGCTAACAGATCTCACTAATCAACATAATTTTTTTGTTTGTTTTTTTTGAGACGGGGTCTCGCTCTGTTGCCCAGGCTGGAGTGCAGTGGCGTGATCTCGGCTCACTGCAAGCTCCACCTCCCGGGTTCACGCCATTCTCCTGCCTCAGCCTCCCCAGAAGCTGGGACTACAGGCGCCCGCCACCATGCCCAGCTAATTTTTTGTATTTTTAGTAGAGATGGAGTTTCATTGTGTTAGCCAGGATGTTCTGTATCTCCTGACCTCGTGATCCGCCCACCTCGGCCTCCCAAAGTGCTGGGATTACAGGCATGAGCCACCCCGCCAGACCCATAAAAATATATTTTAATACTTATGGTGAAATTAGAAGTTTTAAAGCAATTTTCCTTCAAAAAGATACACTAATTCTGTCAACCCCATCGCTACAGGAATACCATGGACATTCATATATGAATCTATGTCCCGAGGAACCTTCGCGTTGCCTTTGACAGCATGTTCCCTTTTAACTTCCCATTCTGCATTGTGAGCTCGGATAAGTTACTAAACCAATCCTGTAATCATAACTGCTCAGTGAGAGTTAGCTGGAGCTACTCTATTTTATTTTTAAAATGCTAAATTAAGACTTATCATGTTCCAAGCACTGTTTGAGGTCCTGAATGAATGTTATCTCAATTCATGCTCATAAAAACTCTATGATGCAATTATTAAGAGTCTCTGTACAAATGGGGAAAATGAGAAGAGAAAGATAGGAGATGTCACAGGGAAAAATCTTTGTTCCCGAGACACAAAGTAGATAGAGATCCGCTCCACAGAGAAGGGGCACTTAGGAGAGGCTCCACTAGCAAATGACCCTTTCCTTGCGAATCAAGAGTGGAGGATGTGCTTCCCCAGGGAGGAAGGGGTGTGAGGCAGAGTTTCCCACGCTGGACAGTTGTGATCCTTAGGGAAAAGCATTGTGCTTCTCTTGTCTATACCACTCTCTGTTCTGTTTCAGCTTGTCATGGTCGAATGTACCATAGAACTCAACTTCTTACCAATCACATCCATCTTCATATCCCAGAGGTGCTTTACACTCAGGATGTCCAAAATTAAAATGATCATCATGACCAGTAATCTCCCCTCCCAATTGGCTTCTCCTCCTGTGTTCCTTACCTTGGTGAATGGCACCACTTCCTACTGCATTGCCCAAGCCAGAAAGCAAGTGGGCATCATTTTAACTGTTCTCTATCCTTCAGCCTCTGCATTCAATCTGTAGCCAAGTCCTACTGATTCTACCTCCTAAGTCCCTATTGAGCCCATCCACTGCGGTCAACTTTGAGAAAAGCAGCCTGGCCTAATTGTTATGGGTGGTGATGGACAGTGGTCTAGACCCGGGCAGATCTCCCCAGCACCCTGAAGTGAGCTGGCAGCTGGAGCTGCCTTGGATGGAATCACCCTTTGTATTCCTATGAATGCTATAATCTCAGGCCCTGCTGAAAGGCCTGTCCCGCTAGGAGTACAATCATTTTAATCCTTTTAAACATTCTGTTTCTACCTACAGGATGTGAAAGAGCCATTCTGGTGTCTAGCCAGTTGTGATTATTTTTTATGCATTGTGGTCTCATAAGATTTACTTTAACTTTGGTCACTGTTGATAATACCGAATATTTCTTTGAATAATATATTATTTATAACCAATTATTTCAACAGCAACACAGGCCTAGCTTCTATCTGACTTGTTTGACTTTGTTTCTTAGTGGAGGTTGGAAAGAAATGTGCTTTCTTTGTTGTTAGTGGCATCTTTGCTCAGAATATGCTGACATTATCTTTCAGATTTCTAAATAGTCTGCTATATTGTTGGTTCACTCCACTGAGTCTCAGAGGGCAGCAAATCAATTTTTCAAACCTCCTCCTGGCTTGCCTTGTTGGAGATAAGCATCGTGCTTCTTGTGTTTCCGAATCTTATCTGACAGCTCCCACTGCCCAGTGATCCAAAGGGGAACATCCTAGGAGGAGGCTTTGAGCCAAGTCATCCTGGAGTCTCTGCAGAGGGCGCAGCTGCCGGGACAGGGCAGCAGCAGCTTGGCTGTGCTTTCAGCCTCCCCTCCCCTTGCCACGGAGCACCCCACAGATACATAATTAGACTGATTAGCTCTGAATCCAAGTATCTTCCCTTGTCCTGAATTGACATCTGCGGTTTTTGTGATAACAGTAAAACTGGCCTTTCTGAAAAGAAAACACTAGGCCAGCCTTCTTTGACAATCAAAGTATATCTACATCACTCCCAGGTACTGTTGTGGAGAGTTCTTCCAGATCAGAGAATAACCTGAAATGACCTGCTATAAATCCTTCTGCAGACACATTTATCTTAATGCTTTCCCTCCCCCCATGACTGCAGCTGGCCTTCATTTGCATCCAAAATTTACCTTCCTTCTCTTTCTTGAGTCTGGCCCTGCTTCTCTTTAAGGACTTGGATGTTAAAAATTGAAATTGCCAGACATGCCGTATTTTAAATTTATAGCAGAGCTCCTTAAGAAAATGCTTTCTGCATGCCTAAGCACCAGGAGTGCATCGTTCTCCCATGGCGCCTTTGTTCAGACAATCTCCTTTGCTCCTGAGTTTTATGACACGATCTCTGTTTCTGTGGGAGCTGTGAAAATTCTAGTATAAATGCCATCACCCAGGAGAGTGCTTTGCTTAGTTATAAATCAGTCATATCAAGAAAGAATCCCTGCTTGCTCCACGATGTGGATGTGTGATGGATGGCCCATCATCACCCCCGTGACTGGCCACGGCAGAGCTCTCTGCAGTCATGAGGGGAAGTGAGGGGTGAGGCCCAGCCTCACCTGCATGTGCCCATGGAAACACATCCTCCCCAGGGCTGTGGGATGGTTTATAAGGTACAGAAAGGGGTGGGGTGGATGCGGACTGTGGCCAGGAAAGAAGGTCACTCTGGGTAGTCAATGAAGAGTCTTGTGTCTCCTCACCAGGGCCTTCTCCACCACGCTACTTTATACTAAGTATTCATTAACTACAACACAACAAAGCGAAAGCTTAAATCACAGTTAAAAGATATTCGCCCTCCCGTATAGGTAGCCAGAAACTGAAATTTTGGGCATTTCCACTTCTCAGTGAGTATTTTCCATTTGAAACTGCCTTATTTATTTACTACTTACATTGACCTCTCTTTCCCCTCAATGGACATTAATCTGAGCCAGTTCCAGGTATGAATCATTGGCATGTTTAGCATACCACACAGATGCACATGGTCTGAAGAATATTTGCAAAGAAGCTTGTACATGTCACATAGTTCTAAATAGAGGCTGCTTTTCCCAATGAGCATAGTGTACTTAAAGTAGGCTATAAAATTGTCACAGTTTATAAATCAGTGAAATTAGTACTGAAGCTCATTTAATCTATATGAAAACAGCAGCATCGGTAATTGACATGCACATATTCTATAAGGAGCAATATAAAGTTATTTGTGTGACCAACTGGTACACAGTTGTGGACCATCTTGATTCTGGCAACAATTCACTATGTAAAGACCACCCAATTTTATGGGAGTGTTTTAACCAGAGAACCAATGCCTTTATTGGAATTTAAATTAGAATTAACCAGATGTGGAGCTGCAGGTACTCAAATTTATCAACGCTAATACAACAATATATAACCGAATTGCAGGTGTTAAAAAAATAGGTAGAGATTCCTTTTATCTTGTTATATTCAAAAGTTGATTTTTTTGTGACTTTACTCTTAATCTGCTTCCCACTTATATTTGGTTTGATCAGAATTTACAGCAAATGAAGAGGGCTCTATACCCTTAAATATTACCTATGTTTAAAATCTAAGTCAAATGCTTAGACTATTGAAAGAGATGGTTATCTGAAGCAATGATACAAGGAATCTTAGAGTCAAGCTGTCAATAGGGAGGAGTCACAGATGCTGAATTGGTTGTATTTAATTGAGTAAGCCACTAAAGCATCTAACACATGCGTGCTTCTCTACATGGGACTGATTTGAGCCTAGAAAAAAAGCTGTTTCTAAGTTGTACATTGAGTATCTCAATTTCTAGACTCATATTATAAAATTAGAGATAATGTTTACAAATTATTTTGTTTGTAGAAGTGGAAAATGCCTAGAAATAACAATGCCTTATAAAGCATCTATTTAAAGAAAGTAGATTTTTTATGAAAAATATACCACCAATAATGAAAACACATTATACAATTTAAATGTTGAGATCACCATTGTGTAAGATGACATAACAGCAAGATGTAAATCAATGTCTAATTCTTTTAGGTGTAAATGTCAATGAAAATACAGGTATGGGTGATAGGAAATAAATTTTGACCCTCCTACTGTTTTCAGGGATATCAATAATCTCCCACTTCTATGATGCACCTTTTACTAACTGCTCATCTTCTTTTGAAAGACCTTAGATGGTGTTTTAGTATGTGATTGTTTATGTACCTTTTTATAGGTAAGTCAAGTAAGTATATGATACTTAAATTAATAAATTATAAAAAGTCAGAAAATAAATTTACTTCTTAACTGTGCTTGCTCTTGAAAATCCTTTCTCCTACCATTGATCAAGCACCTTCAGCAAGGGGACCATCACATCTGTGCAGATTTTATGATATAGAGTTCTAAAAATTAACAAGGATTTTGTGAAAATGTGTCAAGGTACTTTAGGACCAGAATTTTTGTATTTGAGTCATGATATATTTTTCTGCCCTAACCTATCCCTAGATTATGACAAATAGAGGAAGTTGGGGAATTCATACTTCAGTTCATGCTTTACTAAAGATTAGGTGGCAGAAAACATGCAATCACCTAGAGTTGCAACCTACATCATCCCTGCTTGACAAAACCCTAACCCTACTTAAATGCAATTTCCCTCCTATGCCTGTACGAGTGAAGATGATTAACCTGGGGGTAGAGTGCACAATCTTGTTAACTGACTCCGCTGTAAATTAATAAACAATGACCTAACTGGATCCTTCATCAAGGCTAGTATTTCTATTATATTTTTTAGTTCATTTCCTCTCCAGTTCTCCCAGATAAATCTTGTATCTTCTCCTGGAAACTCCAACATCATCATCCTATTCTTATTCTCAGCTATTTTCTAGTTCATTGAAAGAATCTGAAAAAATAAGACCACTTTAATTATTTCCTAATACCACATATACCCATCTTTGCCCATTGTCCTGCCTTCTCTCTTCTTGCTATGGTTACATGGCCCAGAATCCCAGACACAGTCAGTTCTTCTCCTGGTGCATGCAATACCAGGCCACAGCTGAGTCAAGGTCATCACTTTAGCTACTATTCTCACTCTCTCCTGCATGATCCATTTACCCAGGTTCACTGGATGTTTCCTATCAGCAAACATTTTTCACTCAATTTACAAGAAAAAAACATAACCTTACTTGACTTCTATTATCTGTTACTTTTTAGAGATACTTTCTTTCTCTTTAGAGTTGCTTTCTTACTCTTTAAATTTAAACTTATCAAAAGCATTGCATATAGGTGCTACCAGTGATGCTACTCCTCCCATAATCCCTGAACCTATGCCACTTTGGCTTCTGCCAACCTATTCCATCAATTTGATGCACTGCACATTTGTAAATCTAATGTTCAATCTTCATTTCCCTTAACTCCTTCTGCACCTGGCTTACCTGACACTAAATTCTTCTTTGTTCTTACCACTCTGCCATTCCTTTACAGTTACCTTGCCAGATTTTTCCTCCTATCCCTCCCCTAACTACTTAATTGGAGGGCCCCAGAGCTTGGTTGGTGCAATAATCTCTTCCTTACCAAAGCTTGGTAATTTTATTTAACCTCAGGGCTCTAAAGACCACCCAACTTTCTGTTTCCAATCTGGATCTTGCTGCTGAACTACAGGCTTGAAGATCCACCCATCTTTTTAGCATTTTCATTTGAAATCTGAATAGGCTTTCCCAATTCACCAGACTAAGAACTGCACCCTTGGCCCACGCTGCATTAAGAAACACATTCCTCTTGCAAGCTTCTCCACATCCTGCTAGTTTGTCAGGCTAAAAACCTTTGTAATTGTGACTGATCTCTTTTCCTTCCCATCACCAGTGTTAGCACACTGGCCTCAGTGGCCATATCATTTCTCAGCTGCATTGGGGGAGTCATCTCCTCTCTGGTTGCCTGACTTCCACATGTGCCCCTCCACAGTTCATTCTCAGGATGTCATCCAGATTATTATTTTAAAGCATAAATTTGAACATGCCAATCAATTGTGCAAAACCTTTCATAGTTATCCCTTATTTTACTTCATTTGAATTTAAGCCCAAATCTTTGCAATGACCTAAACTATCCTACATCATCTGGTGCCCCACATTACCTGTCTGGCCTTGTCTCACATGCCTCTCCCCTGTTGTCCCGCCGTACAAGCCACAGTGGATTCCTTACCATGCCTTAGAAGTTAGACACAGCCCTGACTCAGAATCCTTGTACTTTTGATTCAATCTGCCTGGAATGTGCACCCTGGATGAGCTGTATGTATCTCCCTTACACTCCTTCATGTATGTGGCGGGTAGAATAATGCCACCCCTGCACCAAAGATGTCTATGTCCTAATCCTTGGGACTTGTGAATATGTTTTCTCCTGGCAAAAGGGACTTTGCAGATGTGAGTCGTGAAATGGGAGGTTATCTTGGATTATTCAAATAGCCCTAATCTAAGCACAAGGGTAGTCATAAAGAAAAGGATGAAGCTGTTAAGAGTCAGAGAAGGATCTGTGACAATTAAAACAGAGGTCAGAGAAACATTCAAAGATTTGGGGTTGTCAGTCTTGAAGATGTAAGAGGGTGCCACAAGGCAAGGAATGCAGACAGAAACTCCAGAAGCTGACAGGTAAGGAAATGGAAGAACACAGCCCTGCTGAGACCTTGAGTTTTTTAGTGAAACTGATTTGGGGCTTCTGATTTCTAGAACTGCAAGGTAATTAATTTGTGTTTTAGGCCAAAACATTTGTGATAATTTGTTAAAGCAACAATAACAAACTGATACAACATATTTGATGAAAGTCATATTTTCCGTGAGACCTTTTGTGACCAATTCTGTTAAAATTATAAGTGATCCTTCTTAACTTTATTCACTTACTTCCATGTGTTAATTTTGTTCTATAATAAGTATTAACATTGATATTTTGTTTATTTTCTTTCTCTCCCTTCCAAGTAGAGTCTAAACTCCATGAGAGAAGAAATGCTGACTTTTTGGTTCACTGCCATTTTGCCAACACCTAGAATAGCACCACCCTGATGTCCATGCTCAGGACATGGTTCTATCAATGGTGAACATGGATGGCAATGGACACTGTGGATGGCTAGCCCATCAGGTGAAGAAGCATTTCATAACCTTCATCTGTGCCACTCCTCTATTTGTCACCACTGGTTCCTTTGTGGCTCTGAAATCTCCTGTCCATATCTTTACTATGACAATTGCACATTGTTTTTTTTTTTTTTTGTTTTTTTTTTTGAGACGGAGTCTCGCTCTGTCGCCCAGGCTGGAGTGCAGTGGCGTGATCTCGGCTCACTGCAAGCTCCGCCTCCCGGGTTCACGCCATTCTCCTGCCTCAGCCTCCCGAGTAGCTGGGACTACAGGCGCCCGCTACCACGCCCGGCTAATTTTTTGTATTTTTAGTAGAGACGGGGTTTCACCGTGTTAGCCAGGATGGTCTCGATCTCCTGACCTCGTGATCCGCCCGCCTCGGCCTCCCAAAGTGCTGGGATTACAGGCGTGAGCCACCGCGCCCGGCTGCACATTGTTTTATATTTAGTTATTTATGTTCACATTGAGCCAGAGGAGCAGGGCCATCCTTATCTTTGTATTACACCTCCAAGCACAATGCCAGACATGCAGTAGTGTCTCCAAATCTGACCAACTGGTGCAAAATCAACACCTGTAGCATATGTACTGTATTAGTCTGCTTTCATGCTGCTAGTAAAAACATACCTGACCCTGGGTAATTTATAAAGGAAGGAAGTTTAATTCACTCACAGTTCTGCATGGCTGGGGAGGCCTCAGCAAACATAATTATGGAGGAAAGGGAAGCAAACACGTCCTTCTTCACGCGGGAGCAGGAAAAAGAAGTGCCAAGCAAAGAGGGAGAAGCCCCTTATAAAACCATCATATTTTGTGAGAACTCACTCACTATCACAAGAACAGCAGCATGGGTGTATGTGTCCCCATGATTTCAATTACCTCTGACCAGGTCCCTCCCATGACATGTGGGGATTATGGGCGCTACAATTTAAGATGTGATTTGGGTGGGGACACAAAGCCTAATCATATAATTTCATCCCTGACCTTTCCCAAATCTCATGCCTTCATATTGCTAAACATAATCATGCCTTCCCAACAGTCTCCCAAAGTCTTAACTGATTCTAGCATTAAACCAAAAGTACAAGTCCAAAGTCCAATCAGAGACAAGGCAAATCCCTTTTGACTGTCAGCCTGTAAAATCAAAAGCAAGTTACTTACCTCCTAGATACAATGGAAGTACAGGCATTGGGTAAATACTCCCACTCCAAATGGGAGACAGTGGCCAAAGTAAAGGGGTTACAGGCACCATGGAAGTCCAAAATCCAGTGGGGCAGTCAAATATTGAAGCTCCAAAATGATCTCCTTTGACACCATGTCTCACATCCAAGTCATGCTGATGCAAGATGTGGGCTCCCATGGCCTTGGGCAGCTCCATCTCTGTGGCTTTGCAGGGTACAACCCCACTCCTGGGTGTCTTCATGGGCTGGCATTGAGTCCCTGAGGTTTTGCCAGGTGCATGGTGTAAACTGTCAGTGGATCTACCATTCTGGAGCCTGGAGGAAGGTGGCCCTCTTCTCACAGCTCCACTAGGCTGTGCACCAGTGGGGACTCTGTGTGGGGGCTCCAACCCACATTTCCCTTCCACACTGCCCTAGCAAAGGTTTTCCATGAGGGCTCCAGCCCTGTAGCAAACTTCTGCCTGGACATCCAGGCATTTCCATACATCCTCTGAAATCTAGGTGGAGGTTCCTTAACCTAAATTCTAGACTTCTTTGCACCCACAGGCTCAACACTACATGGAAGCTGTGAAGGCTCAAGGCTTGCACTCTCTGAAGACATGGCCCGAGCTGTACCTTGGCCCTTTTTAGCCATGGCTGGAATGCAGGGGACCAAGTCCTGAGACTGCACAAAGCAGCAAGGCCCTGGGCCCACTCAACAAAACCATATTTTGCTTCTCAGGCCTCTAGGCTTGTGATGGGAGGGGCTTCTATGAAAACCACTGACAGGCCCTGGATACATTTTCCCCATTGTCTTGGTGATTAACATTTGGCTCCCCATTACTTAGACAAGTTTATGCTGTTGAGTTGAATTTCTCCTCAGAAAATTTTTTTTCTATTGCATCAGGCTGCAAATGTTCTGAACTTTTATGCTCTGCTTCTCTTTCAAACATAAGTTCCAATTCCAAACCATCTCTTTGTGAATACGTAAAACTGCATGCTTTTAACAAGACCCAAGTCATCTCTTGAATGCTTTGCTGCTTAGAAATTTCTTCTGCCAGATACCCTAAATCATGTCTCTCAATTTCAAAGTTCCACAGATCTCTAGGGCAGAGGCAAAATGCCATCAGTCTCTTTGCTAGAACATAGCAAGTGTCACCTTTATTACAGTTCCCAACAAATTCCTCACCTCCATCTGAGACCATCTCAGCCCGGACTTCATTTTCCATATCACTATCAGCATTTTGGTCAAAGCCATTCAACAAGTCTCTAGGAAGTTGCAAACTTTCCCACACCTTCGTGTCTTCTGAGCCCTCCAAGTCTCTAGGAAGTTCCCAACTTTGCCACATTTTCCTATCTTCTTCTGAGCTCTCCAAAGTGTTCCAACCTCTGCCTGTCACCCAGTTCCAAAGTTGCTTACACCTTACACATTTTTGAGTATATTTAGAGCAGCACCCCACTACCCAGTACCAATTTAACTGTATTAGTCCATTCTCATACTGCTAATAAACACATGCCCAAGACTGTGTAATTTATAAAGGAAACATGTTTAATTGACTCACAGTTCCACATGCCTGGAGAGGCCTCAGGAAACTTACCATCATGGCAGAATGGGAAGCAAACACATCTTTCTTCACATGGCGGCAGGAAGAAGTGCCGAGCCAACAGAGAAAAGCCTCCTATAAAACCATGAAATCTCATGAGAACTCACTATCACAAGAACAGCAGCATAGAGGTAACCACCCCCATGATTCAATTACCTGCTACCAGGTCCCTCCCACAACATGTGGGGATTGTGGAAACTACATTTCAAGATGAGATTTGGGTGGGGACACAACAAAAACTTATCACATACATAAAAGGTAGTGAAGTCGACTGCATTCTAAGATTTCCCCACCTTGGAAATTGAGTCCACATTCTACCAATTTCTAGCCATAATATATTAGACAACTCACTAAACCTTTCTGGGCCTAACTTGCATTAACTATAAAATTTAAACTATCACAGAGTTATTGTAAGTTTCAGGTAAATTAATATGTGTGCTCTTTCTCTGTTAGCTAGAAAGCACTGTAAACTTATAAGCTTATAATATAATATGCAAGAATCAAATAGGAAATAATTTGGTGGCTAATGGTGTATATCTCCTTTTTATAGAAACATTTATAACTTCTTAGTCAATCACACTTTCTACCACGGCCTTCATTTTCACCTACAAATTGACAGTGATCAAATCCAGATCTTCATCCCTGAGTTTTCTCTTAGGTTTGGGAATAGACATTCATTTGTCACTAAATGGAGTTGTGGAAGTTGGCCTCCTAAACTGATTCATTCTCTTGCACTGAATGGAGTTGTGGAAGTTGGCATGGCTAAAATTTTCCCATTCACATCTGTCAGTTCAACATGCTATTGGACATATATTTATTGTGTGATTCCAATGTACTACAGACTCTGCTGTGGGCATTAAAGTATTCTATCAGCAGAATGTAATGGTCCTTTTTACTTTGAAGGATCACTCCAATTGCATTGTGCAGGGCAGATGTAAAGACCAAGCCCAAGGCCTGAAGATAAATTAAGTTGCCCTTAGAGCAATCTAAACAAGGTATATTATCCCTCTCACTAAGGACATTGATACTATGGTTTTAGTGGCATTAACAGGACTTGAGAAACTCTGAGAAAATAAAATATATCTATTTAATGTTTGGTACTATAGGTGAGGCAAGAAGTGGAATTAAAAACCATTCACAGGAATCTAGCCTGAGTTTTTAGATGGTTAGTGATAGTAACTATGACAGAAAATGCAAGAGAATGAATCAGTTTAGGAGGAGGATTATTACTTTAATATATGACAAGGTATTTTGGCAGAATGACTCTAGGTATCTCAGGAACATGTAGAACAATCCAGTGATGTTTGGGCTGTGGATAAATAACAGGGCTTTTTAATTTTTTCTGAGGCACTACTGAGCTAACTTGTATTAGCAAGTTCTTAGTTTTGATGAGCAGAGTAGACATTTCCCTCTATATCAACACATTTAAACACCTAAGTTTTGGAGAATAAAACTGAAGAAGTGACCTTATCCTCTTGAATGATTTATTAATATACGTTTAGTGCCCAGTGGCAGATTTTCATCTTTCTAGTTAATGAAGAAACTTAAGCATTCACAGTCCCAAAGGGCCTTTCTAACAACTCTGATAAGCACTAAAATAACTCTTCTCCATTAAACATTGCAAATAGAACCATCACAACACATCATAATGAAAAAGTATGTCATATATTGATTTTCTTGCTACCACTGGATCTTCATTAACACACATGGTGGATACTTTTTCTGAAATCTCATGCCATTTTCCTAGGCTAAGTGCATTTTGGAGAAGAGCTATGACAGATCTGATGTGACAAGTGCTATTTTGCAATTATTGTGTGTCTCAGACACTGACATCCTCTAATTCACACTCATGACATTCTTGTGCATGTAGGATTATTAGCAATTATTTTTTTCAGATGAGAAAATTGGATCAGTGAGTGAACTGACAATCAAAGTAGCCCACAGTCTTAAGTTCAAATCTAGGCTTCAGCAAGTTATTTAATCTCTTTGTGCCTCAATTTACTCATTAATAAACAAGACTACCTACATAGGAATATTTTTAAAATTAAATAGCTAATGTTTTTCATTAGTACTTAGGGCTGGATTTTTAATGAGTGCTGGTCACCTCCTCTACCACCACTTACACTATGCTGTCTTTGTCAACTCAAACCTGAGTGTAATGCATGTAAAGAATTCTTTGCATGCTTCTCACAGCACCACATATCCTAAAGTCTATAATGTTTTGGGGGGTGTAAGGCAATGCTCAAGATAAAAATAATTGCAACAAAAGCAAAAATTGACAATGGGATCTAATTAAACTTAAGAGCTTCTGCATAGCAAAAGAAACTGTCATCAAAGTGAACCAACGACCTACAGAATGAGAGAAAATGTTTGCAATCTATCCATCTGACAAAGGTCTAATATCCAGAATCTGCAAGGAACTTAAACAAATTTACAAGAAAAAAAAAAAAACCTCATTAAAAAGTAGGCAAAGGACATGAACAGACACTTCTCAAAAGAAGACATTTATGTGGCCAAGAAAAATATAATAAAAAGTTCAACATTACCGATCATTAGAGAAATGCAAACCAAAACCACAATGAGATAACATCTCACACCAGTCACATGGTGATTATCAAAGTCAAGAAACAACAGATGTTAGTGAGGGTGTGGAGAAATAGGAATGCTTTTACACTATTGGTGGAAATGTATATTAGTTCAACCATGGTGGAAGATAGTGTAACATTTCTTCAAATACTTGGAACCAGAAATATCATTTGACCCAGCAATCCCATCACTGGGTATATAGCCAACGGAATATAAATCATTCTATTTTAAAGATACATGCATGCATATGTTCATTGCAGAACTATTCACAATAGCAAAGACATGAAATCAACCCAAATGCCCATCAGTGATAGACTGGATAAAGAAAATGTGGTAAATACATACCATGGAATATATTTACCATGGAATATAGTATGCAGCCATAAAAAGGAATGATATCATGTCCTTGCAGGGACATGAATGTAGCTGGAAGCCATTATCCTCAGCAAATTAACACAGGAACAGAAAACCAGACAACGCATGTTCTCACTTATGAGTGGCAGCTGAATGATGAGAACCCATGGACACAGGGAGGGCAACAAACCACACTGGGGCCTGTGGGGGGTGTGTGGGGAGGGAGCACATCAGGATAAATAGCTAATGCCTGCCGGGCTTAATACCTAGGTGTGGATTGATAGGTGCAGCAAACCACCATGGCACACGTCTACCTATGTAACAAAACTGCATGTCCTGCACATGTATCCCGGAATTTAAAATAAAATAAAATAAAATTTTAGAAAGAAAGGGAACCTTAAAGCAATCTTAGTTTAGATGACTTGGTAGGCTCACATATCTGCTACTTCTAGCCCATATATTTGCTTAATGTGCCAAAGAAAGCTCTTTGATGCACTAAAACAAAAGTCTATTTGTGGATGACAACTACCTAGATGACACTATGATGAGGAACTCAATTTGGGGGGATCCAAAACATATACTCCTACTGTCTTCAAACAATAATCACTTGATTGCCACAACATGCTTGTTGGGTAAACCAGCATTGGCAGAAATGCCTAAATGAGCGTCTTAGTCCATTCTTGCAAAGCTAGAAGGAAATACCCGCAAATGGGTGTTATTAGTCTGTTTTCATGCTGCTGATAAAGACATACTGAGACTGGATAATTTATACAGAAAAAACGGTTTCATGGACTTACAGTTCTGTGTAGCTGGGGAGGCCTCACAAACATGGCAGAAGGTAAGGAGGAGCAAGTCATGTCTTATATGAACGGCAGCAGGCAAAAAGAGAGTTCATGCAGGGAAACTCCCCGTTCTAGAACCATCAGATCTCTAGAGACTTAATCACTGTTATGAGAACAGGATGGGAAAAACCCGCCCCCGTGATTCAATTACCTCCCAATGGTTTCCTCCCATGGCCCATGGGAATTGTGGGGGTTACAATTCAAGATGAGATTTGGCTGGGGACACAGCCAAAAAATATCAATGGGTAATTTATAAAGAAAACTGGTATAATTGGCTAACAGTTCTGCAGGCTTTACAGGAAGCATGGTGCTGGCATCTGCTTGGTTTCTGGGAGGCCTCAGAAAACTTACAATCATGGCAGAAGGAGAAGGAGGAACAGGCACATCATATGGCAAAAGCAGAAGTAAGCAAGAGAGAGTGGGGAGGAGGTGCCACATACTTTTAAATGAACAGATTTCATGAGAACTCACTCACTACTCTGAAGACAGCACCAGGTCATAAGGGTTCTGTCTCCATGATCCAAATATCTCCCACTGGTCTTCTCCTCTAGCCTTGGGGATTATAATTCAACACGAGATTTTGGCAGAGACAAATATTTAAACTGTATCATTCTACCCCAGGCTTCTCTGGAATCACATTTCCTTCTCACATTGCAAAATATGATCATGCCTTCCCAACAGTCCCCCAAGGTCTTAATTCATTTTAACATTAACTTAATGTTCAAAGTCTAATCTGAGAGAGGGCAAATCCATTCCATCTATGAGCCTGTAAAATAAAAAACAAGTTATTTACTCCAAAGATACAATGGAGTTATAGGCATTGAGTAAACATTCCCATTTCAAAAGACAGAAATTGGCCAAAAGAAAGGGACTACATGCCCCATGCAAGTTTAAAACCCAGTAGGGGAGTCATTAAATATTCAAGCTCTAGGATAATTTCCTTTGACTCCATGTCCCATATCCAGGGCACAATGCTGCAAGGGGCAGGCTCCCAAACCCCTTTGGCTTTGCAGGGTGCAGCTCTGTGCTTGTTCCTGTGGTTTGAGTTGAGTGCCTGTGGCTTTTCCAAGCACAGGGTGCAAGTTCCTGATGGATCTACCATTCTGGGGTTTGGAAGACAGTGGCCCCCTTCCCACAGCTCCACTAGGAAGTGCCCCACTGGGGAATATGTGTGGGGACTGCAATCCCACATTTTCCCTTGGCACTGCCTAGTAGAGGTTCTCTGCCTGGGCTGGGCACCCAGGCTTTCCCATACATCCTCTGACATCTAATCAGAGGCTGCCAACTGTTCTTCATTCTTGCATTCTGTGCATATACAAGCTTAACACCAAGTGAAAGCCTCCAAAGCTTATGGCTTGCAATCTCCAAAGTGGCAGTCCAAGCTGCATCAGTGCCCCTTTGATCTGAGACCACAGCTGGAATGGCATGGACATAGAGAGCAGTGTCCTGAAGCTGCACAAGGCAACAAAGCCCTGGCCCTGGCCCATGAAACCATTCATTCTTCCTAGGCTTCTGTGTCTGTGATGGCAGGGACTTCCACGAAGTTTTCTGAAACGTCTTCAGTGCCTTTTCCCCATTGTCTTGGATATTAGCACTGGGCTGCATTTTAGTTATGCAAATATCTCTAGCAACAATTTGCTCCATAGCCTGCTTGAATTACTCCACCAAAAAAGCTTTTTCTTTCTTTGTCACATGGTCAGGCTTCAAATTTTCCAAATTTATATGCTCTGTTTATGGTTTAAATATAAATTCCAACTTTAGAAAATTCCTTTGTTCTGCATCTGAGCATCAGCTGTTAGAAACAGCCAGGCCACATCTTGAATACTTTGTTGTTTAGATATTTTTGCCACCAGATACCCTAGGTCACACTCTCAAGCTCAAACTTCCACAGTTCCCTGGGGCATGAACAGAATGAAGCCAAGCTCTTTGCTAAGGCATAACAGGCATGACCTTTGCTCCAGTTCCCAATAAGTTTCTTATTTCTATCTGAGACATTGGCAGCCTGGACTTCACTATCCATGTCACTATCAGCATTTTTGTCACAATCATTTAACCAGTATCTAAGAAGGCCCAAGCTTTCTCTCATATTCAGGTCTTCTTCTGAGTCCTCTAAACTCTTCCAACCTCTGCCCATTAGCCAGTTCCAAAATCACTTTCTCATTTTCAGGTATCTTTATAGCAACACCCCACTTCTTGCTACCAATTTTCTGTATTTGGTGCTCTTGCACTGCTATAAAGAAATACATGAGACTGGATAATTTATAAAGAAAAGAGGTATAATTAGCTCACAGTTCTGAAGGCTTTACAGGAAGCATGGTGTTAGCATCTGCTTGAATTCTAGGGAGACCTCAGGAAGCTGACAATTATGTTGGATGGCAAAGGAGGAACAGGCATATCACATGGCAAAAGCAGGTGCAAGCAAGAGAGAGAGAGTGGGCAGGAGGTGCCACACATTTTTAAATGATCAGATCTTGCAGAAATTCACTATCACAAAGACAGCAGCAAGCCATGAGGGATCTGCCCTCATGACCCATATACCTCCCACCATACCCCACATCCAGCACTGGGGATTACAATTCAATATGAAAGTAAGGCAGGGACAAATATTCAAACTATATCAATTCATCTTAGAAACAATTGGAATAGATGCAGGAATCCTAGGACAGGCAGAATTTCTCTTTAATGAAAAAAAAAGGCTGAGAAAAAAGAGTTATTGGCCTATATTCGTTGTTTAGAAGAGATATTACTCCAGAAGAAAGGGAAAGTAAGACAGAATAAAAAGACTCAGAAAAATAGATAAAACATACCCAAGAGCTATTTGGACAATATGACAAGGACAAAGATGATAAAGAGCATGGGCACCAACTCAAGCATGACCTCCAGATGGAAGTAGAAGCTTCTAAAGATGCTGTTGACACCTCCTCCCTCCCTCCTCACTATTCCTGTCCCCTGATTATTCAATCAAACAGTAATCTAGCTACTTCTGTGAAGGGATATTGCAGATGTGATTTAAGTCCCAAGTCAGGTCACCTTAGAATATAAATACTATCGAGGTGGGTCTGATCTGATCACAGAAGCCTTTTAAAAGGCAGATAAGAACTCAGAGAAACAGACTCTTGCCAGCTTCCAGGAAGAACAAACAGCTATGCTGTGGCTGCTGTTGGAGCAGAGTGGGCTGCTGATGGTATGTAGTGGACAACTCAAGGCTGAGAACAATCTCTGGCTGATAGCTAACAAGCAAATGGGACCTCAGTCCTACAACTGAGTACCTATAGCTGAGGAAATGAAATCTGCCAACAACTCAAATACTTCAAGAGGAGTCAGGGCCTCAGATGAGGGCACCTTGCTGTCAGCCTGTGAGGCCTGAGCAGAAGATCCAGCTAACTCATATAAGACACTGTTCAGTGGCCTTGTGCTTGTCTCCCTTGAGACCAGATATCTGTTGCCCAGTTTGGATTCAAACGCTTAAGATAAAGCACATGCTATGAATCCCAGAAAGGGCCTTAAGAGCTGTCCCTGGAAGACTGGGGCCTCTCTGATTCTTCAAGTGCCTTCTCTCTCTTGCTGTCCTGCACCATTTATCTTCATTAAACCCTCACATCAATGTATTGTGTGTGGTCTTGTAATATTTTCAATTATTACCTGGATATATGTAATCAATAGAGTTTTACGAATCATGAAGGTGTGGTATAGGCTGAGGACAGACATACTGGAAAATGGGACACAAGGGTCCAGAAGTAAACCCACATGTATTAGGTACTTGACTTATGACAACAGTACCACTGTAATGCCATAAGGAAAAGGATGCCATTTTCAATAAATAATGCATCATCGATTGACTATTCATATGAAAAAAGTAATACTGACCCATTTCTTACACTGTATATAAAGTCCAGATGCATTATTAATTGAAGAATGATATTAAAATGGTATGTTTTATCACTGGAGAAAATCTTAACAAAAAAAGCAAAATTAATAAAGAAATAGAATGCTGTTAAAGAAAATAAAACTAGATATGGTTTGGCTTTGTGTCCCACCCAGTTCCCATGTTGAATTGTAGTTCTGATAATCCCCACTAGTCATGGGAAGGACCTGGAAGGAGGTAATTGAATCCTGGGAGCAGTTACTGCCATGTGTTCTTGTGATAGTCAGTGAGTTCTCGTGAGATCTGATGGTTTTATAAGGGGCTTTCACCCCCTTGGCTTCCACTTCTCTCCCCAGCCACCATGTGAAGAACAATGTGTTTGCTTTCCCTTCTGCCATGATTTTAAGTTTTCTGAGGCCTCCCCAGTCATATGGAACTCTGAGTCAATTAAATCTCTTTCCTTTATAAATTATGCAGTCTTGGATATGTCCTTATAGAAGTGTGAGAATGGACTAATACAGAAAATTGATACCACAGAGAGTGGGCTGCGGCAATAAGGACAGCAGAAAATGTGGAATCAACTTTGGTACTGGGTAACAGGTAAAGGTTGGAACAGTTTGGAGGGCTCAGAAGAAGACAGAAAAATGGGAGAAAGTTGGAACTTCCTAGAGACTTGGAGGGCTCAGAAGACAAGAAGATGTGGGAAAGTTTGGAACTTCCTAGAAATTTGTTGAATGCCTTTAACCAAAATGTTGATAATGATATAAACAATGAAGTCCAGGCTGAGGTGGTCTCAGATGGAGATGAGGAACTTGTTGGGAACTGGGATAAAGGATAAACAATGAGGTCCAGGCTGAGTTGGTCTCAGATGGAGATGAGGAACTTGTTGGGAACTGGAATAAAGGTGATTCTTGCTATGCTTTAGCAAAGAGACTGGCAACGTTGTGCCCCTACCTGAGAGATTATTTTGAAACCTTAAGCTTTAATGATCGCCCTATTGGATTTTGTACTTGCATGGGGCCTATATCCCTTTCTTTTGTCCAATTTCTTCCATTTGGAATGGGTATATTTATTCAGTGCCTGTGCCCCCATTGTATCTTGGAAGTAACTAACTTGCTTTTGATTTTACAGGCTTATAGGTGGAAGTGACTTGCCTTGTCTCAGATGAGACTTTGGACTTGGACTTTTGGGTTAACGCCGGAATGAGTTAAAACTTTGGGGACTATTGCAAAGGCATGATTGTGTTTTCAAATGTGGGGACATGACATTTGGCAGGGGTCAGAGGTGGAATGATATTATTTGGCTTTGTGTCCCCAACCAAATCTCATCTTGAATTGTAGTTCCCATAATCCCCATGTGTTGTGGGAGGGATCAAGTAGGAGGTAATTTAATCATGGGGGCAGTTACCTCTATGCCGTTCTCATGATAGCGAGTGAGTTCTCATGAGATTTGATGGTTTTGTAAGGGGCTTTACCCCCTTTGCTTGGTGATTCTCTCTCCTGTTGCCATGTGAAGGACAGATTTGCTTCCCATTCTGCCATGATTGTAAATTTCCTGAGGCCTCCCCAGCCCGCAGAACTGTGAGTCAATTAAACCTCTTTCCTTTATAAATTACCCAGTTGTGGGTATGTCCTTTTAACAGCATGATAACAGGATAATACAAGCTATATGTAATTCTCACATTCAGTGAAAAGTATCATTCACAGATTACTAAGTTATATCTCATTCCCTTGAATTATAGATGTCTATTTCTATAATCATATAATGTGATGTTTAAACCTAAGTTTAGGACTTCAACATAGCCTGATTAATATTCTCTTTATGGTATTTAGCTATTGTTATGACCTGTAAGACTCACTGTAAATCTCAATTCCATCCCTTACCTTCTCCAACATCTACTCCTATGAGTCTGTCCTGCAGGTCTTCACCTGATCCTGTTGCTAAGAGTAGACCATCAGTTAAGGCCACATAGACTGACCCATTCCCCTTTTCCAAAGACCATCTTCTGCTGTGACCTGACGCTACTTCCTTTAGGAATAATTACAGTACTTGGAATAGAATGAAACTTTGTACTGCTGCAGGTCCTGGTGTGTTGATTCCCAAATGAAAGCAGAATATGAGAACACAGGAGACAGAAGAAACTTCGGGCAGGGAGTTTTGTGCTAGGGAAAGGTTGCAGCCAGGTCAGGCTGCTGTAACAAAAATATCATTGACTAAGTGGCTTAAACAACAAACAAACTCACAGTCCTGGAGTCCGGGAAGTCCAATATCAAGACATCAATAGATTTGGTATCTGTTGAGGGATGGCTTCCTGGTTCATAAATGGCACCTTCTCCCTGTGTCCTCACATGGTAGAAGAGGCAAGAGAACTCTCTGAGGCCTCTTCTATAAAAGCACTAATTTCATTTATGAGTTTCTACCCTCATGATCTCATCACTTCCCTAAGGCCCAACCTCCTAATACCAATGTCACAATTGACCTTTTAATTGTCGTAAGGAATAGATAAACTAATACATGCAAAGCACTTAGAACAGTGCCCAGCATACACAGTAAAAACTTTAGAAGTGATAGTAAATATTTTAAAAGAACTTTAATTTAGAAATTTAGTTAATTTAGGGCTCTGTTCTGTTCCATTGATCTATATCTCTGTTTTGGTACCAGTACCATGCTGTTTTGGTTGCTGTAGCCTTGTTGTATAGTTGGAAGTCAGGTAGCGTGATGCCTCCAGCTTTGTTCTTTTGGCTTAGGATTGACTTGGCGATGCGGGCTCTTTTTTGGTTCCATATGAACTTTAAAGTAGTTTTTTCCAATTCTGTGAAGAAAGTCATTGGTAGCTTGATGGGGATGGCATTGAATCTATAAATTACCTTGGGCAGTATGGCCATTTTCACGATATTGAGTCTTCCTACCCATGAGCATGGAATGTTCTTCCATTTGTTTGTATCCTCTTTTATTTCATTGAGCAGTAGTTTGTAGTTCTCCTTGAAGAGGTCCTTCACATCCCTTGTAAGTTGGATTCCCAGGTATTTTATTCTCTTTGAAACAATTGTGAATGGGATTTCACTCATGATTTGGCTCTCTGTTTGTCTGTTATTGGTGTATAAGAATGCTTGTGATTTTTGTACAATGATTTTGTATCTTGCAACTTTGCTGAAGTTGCTTATCAGCTTAAGGAGATGCCACATATCTACAACCATCTGATCTTTGACAAACCTGACAAAAACAAGCAATGGGGAAAGGATTCCCTATTTAATAAATGGTGCTGGGAAAACTGGCTAGCCATATGGAGAAAGCTGAAACTGGATCCCTTCCTTACACCTTATACAAAAATTAATTCAAGATGGATTAAAGACTTACATGTTAGACCTAAAACCATAAAAACCCTAGAAGAAAACCTAGGCAATACCATTCAGGACATAGGCACCGGCAAGGACTTCATGTCTAAAACACCAAAAGCAATGGCAACAAAAGCCAAAATTGACAAATGGGATCTAATTAAACTAAAGAGCTTCTGCACAGCAAAAGAAACTACCATCAGGGTGAACAGGTGGAGAAAATTTTGCAACCTACTCATCTGACAAAGGGCTAATATCCAGAATCTCCAATGAACTCAAACAAATTTACAAGAAAAAAACAAACAACCCCTTCAAAAAGTGGGCAAAGGAAATGAACAGACACTTCTCAAAAGAAGACATTTATGCAGCCAAAAAACACATGAAAAAATGCTCATCATCACTGGCCATCAGAGAAATGCAAATCAAAATCACAATGAGATCATCTCACACCAGTTAGAATGGCGATCATTAAAAAGTCAGGATACAACGTGCTGGAGAGGATGTGGAGAAATAGGAACACTTTTACACTGTTGGTGGGACTGTAAACTAGTTCAACCATTGTGGAAGTCAGTGTGGCGATTCCTCAGGGATCTAGAACTAGAAATACCATTTGACCCAGCCATCCCATTACTGGGTATATACCCAAAGGATTATAAATCATGCTGCTATAAAGACACATGCACACGTATGTTTATTGTGGCACTATTCACAATAGCAAAGACTTGGAACCAACCCAAATGTCCAACAACGATAGACTGGATTAAGAAAACGTGGCACATATACACCATGGAATACTATGCAGCCATAAAAAATGATGAGTTCATGTCCTTTGTAGGGACATGGATGAAACTGGAAACCATCATTCTCAGCAAACTATGGCAAGGACAAAAAACCAAACACCGCATGTTCTCACTCATCGGTGGGAATTGAACAATGAGAACACATGGACACAGGAAGGGGAACATCACACACCGGGGCCTGTTGTGGGGTGGGGGGAGAGGGGAGGGATAGCATTAGGAGATATACCTAATGTTAAATGACGAGTTAATGGGTACAGCACACCAGCATGGCACATGTATACATATGTAACAAACCTGCACATTGTGCACATGTACCCTAAAACTTAAAGTGTAATAATAATTAAAAAAATTTTTTTAAAGAAATTTAGTTAATTTAGGGAGTAACTGAAGCAACACAAAGAAATTATAAAATCTGTTAATCACAGTTCATTTTTCACCCATTTCATTAAAGCACAGATGGTTAAGCCTTCATCAAAAGCAAGCTTTTTCAGAAAAATAAAAGACAATTTTTTATACTGAAAGCACATAGACCACCTTAAGATATCTTCTTGGGCGTTTAACATCCACACTTACCAACACTGCAGTTGTGCCCTGTGGTAAGAGTCAAGGCTTAGCAGCCTGGCCTTAACCCATCAGATGGACACAACCCAGGTGCCATTTATTCAGCCTTTAGCATGGACTCTGCTTGGCACAGATGCTGTGTCAATGTATTAGTTCCTTTTCATGATGCTGATAAAGACATACCCAAGACTGGGAAGAAAAAGAGGTTTAATTGGACTTATAGTTCCACATGGCTGGGGAGGCCTCAGAATCATAGCAGGAGGCAAAAGGTACTTCTTACATGGTGGCAGCAAGAGAAAAATGAGAAATAAGCAAAAGGGGAAATCCCTGATATAGCCATCAGATCTTGTGAGACTTATTCACTATCATGAGAATAGCACGGGAAAGACTGGCCCCCATGATTCAATTACCTCCCCCTGGGTCCCTCCCACAACACTTGGGAATTCTGGGAGCTACAATTCAAGTTGAGATTTGGATGGGGACACAGTGAAACCATAACAGCCAATTTCCACAGAAACAAGTGCTGGAATATGGGACCACACATAGAGTATGCTTGACTATAAAAAGTTTAAATTCCTTTCAAGAAATTGTAGAAATTATTCTGGAATCTTGAAATGTAAAACAAATTCTCACTAAAAGTATTTCTACAGATAATCCTATGGCTATTTGTAACATTATTTTTGAACATTAATATTGAGTTAAAATAGATAGTTGAAGTAGCCTGGAAGATCATCTTCTAATAGATCGGCCTGTGGCTCGCAGGAAGTCTGTTCCCACCTCATTACAGTGATCTTGCATTAGTGTGTGAATAGGAACCACCCAAGCTTGACTTGCTGTGAACACCAACATTTTAGTTCCCTCAGATTCCAGTTTCACAGCATTTTCTTTGGAATAATGAATATGCTTTAAGATGTTCCTGTTAAAGTGTCTTTGTATTGTATTTGCAATATTCACTATTTTATAGAACCATTAAAACTTTAAATTTGAAAAGAAAATTAAAGGCATTAATTTTTAAAACTTGAAATCGTGTAAGAAGGAAAAAAAGTCAATACTGTTCAAGTCACACATTCCCGCAGTTGCTCTGCCATCTGCCTCCTCCACTCTTTGTTTATGTAGGGTCCCTCCTGCCCTGGCCTGTGGCTCTCTGCTTTTCTGGAGGCATAATTCCTATGCAGAATTTAGGACCTGCTTACTGATTCCTGATAAGTATAGAAGTGAATAATATTTAGAATTGTAAGAGAACTTATGTTTTACCTATGTAAAGAATCAGGATAGTTCTAGGTTTTGGCATTTATACATGAAATGCAGGAGAGGGCAGGACAGTTAAATATATTTTCAGCACACTTAGAAATGGTTAATGAGAGAACATGTTCTGAAAGTACCTTATTGGGGCAGTGTCATATTAATACCTATTACTGTGAATTTTCTCTATATTTTTCTGTTCCCTTTTAAACCATCTAACTTGTAAACGCTAAAGGAAAAATTGTTTTTTTAGTTCAAGAGTCAGAACCTTATGATGTTTTAAAATCGAAAACATCTTCTCTTGGGGGACAAAAAAATAAGTTGTTCGTGTCTATGAGCACTGACTGTGGGCCTGGGGGAAAATAGTAGCTAGGCTTACACCTGCAAATAAATCAGCCCTTATTCTGTTTGTCTGTGGGCTTAAGGTCTTTCTATATATCCAAGCCATCTAGAGCCTTTTTACTTTTGGATTATTCAAAGGGGATACTCTACATAATGCCATAAATATTATGTATTCAGATTGCTTTAGATTCGCCGCCTAAGATATAAACCGTCATGCCCCAAATTCCTACTTATTTTGAATCATTTAGGTTAAAACACAGTTCCAGGTTAAAATGGCAATATGTAGGCCTCATCTCTATTTTGTAAAAATGTCTTTCTGAAATGATGCGTGAGAGGCATGAGTTCACAAGTCAGCATCAGAGGATGTCACTCTCAGACGGAAAAACAAGCTACTACTGGGATTACCACCACCTCCTCAAACTGAGGCATCAAGATGGGCAGGAAAAAGACTTTGTGGCCACTGGGGACCCCAGACTGGTGGGCTCGCCATCCGAATTCCCTGTGTCCCTGAAAATTGGGGAAGTCCAAGTAGGCAATTCCCTTTTCCATTGTTCTGCCTGCTCAAAACTCTTTCAGAGTTTCCAGCGGAAAGCCAGGCAAATTAAATTTTTCAACCCTCATGCAAAAAAAATTAGTTGTTACTGGAAACAAGTGGAAGAAATGGGTCTGTGTTTCCTTCACAAATTCAAGTAAATAGGTTGTCACTCAGTGACAACCCATGAGTGTCTCTTGATCTCCTGGGGTCAGCCCCTGATATGGGCAAAGACCACATACAAAGGCCTATGGCACTGCTGGCTACTCTGCCGTCCCCTACCCCAACTACTCCATGGAGAGCCTGAATGTAAGTAAGGTCAGTGGTGAAGCCAGAGAGAATGTGGAAATGAACTGTGAACAGCTACACAGAGAGGTGGTACTCAGCAAGTGCATCCCAGCATGTTGGGGTCTCATGGTAGCCTCTCTGCATGGGTGGGAGTTGGCAAGAGGGGAAGGTGTCAACCTCACCAATGTCCACCACACCCAGTTCTCCCTTGCTTACTGGGCACAGAGATGACCAGTTCCCTTGCAGTTGGATTGGGGCATGTTACCAATTCTTGCTAAGAATTATAAGTAGAAGTGATGGTTGTCACTTTTGGCCAAGGCAAGGACAGGCCCTGCATAGTTTCCTGGCCTCGCTTTCCTCTGCCCTTGTGAATGTTGAGGCTCTGATGAGGTTGTCTCTACCACACTGAGCCTGAATGACCATGCAGAACCAAACTCTTGCTGACTGCCTCCCACCTTCCTTCCCCCACCACAATCTGGACTGTGGGAGTGAAAAATAAAATGTTATGGTAGAAGACCCTGAGATGAGATTTGAGCTGTTTTTTTTTTCTTACTGTTGCATAAACATAAGAGGTAAGAAGGAAGTTCTCCTGGTACTCAGATCAGGATTCAGGGTTAGGATCATCCACAGACAAAGATGCCTAAACTCTGGGGAGCCTCAGCTATTTCCCTTCATGCACTGGTTATTTGAAATCATCTTTAGTTAATTAATGTGAAAGAATTACATTATTTCATGAGAGAATATTGTAATAGTTTTTAAAGGGTAAAAATATGGCTATAGAAAGGTTGAGTGTTGCCTACATATTTCTATAGATGCAGTAACAATCATTGAGTTAAACTTTTAATAATAGATGGTGAGTTTGTTTTCTCAGTTTTATTACTGAGCTGCTGGTAGCCTGGGATTAAAGCAGATGAGACTGACAGGCAGAGAGGGGGTTTCAATGCATGACAGTTTCAAGGATCTGCTCAGATGCACCGTGGGTAGCTTGGAAAAGCAGGATGGCAAAAAGCTATAAAAACCACCAAAAATCAAACCAAACTGGCAAAGATATACTGTGTTCAGAGCTTCTTGCTGGCTGCTGAAAGAGAACAGGGGATCTTGGAAAGGGAGGAATGTAGACCGAAAAGAATCTCTGCAGACTTGTACCTTTACCAATTATATTTTAAAGGCATTTAATTGTTCATCTGTTATGCAGAGGAGTGCACTATGAGTTTCCTATGGATGTGCTGAAAGTATGTGTAGGAAAACATTAATGAACATGCATTTTTTGAAATACTGGAATAAATCACAGTTGCACCTTGCAGGTAGTTGGTGCTTTAAAAATGCACAAAACACTCATAAGGTCACTATAGTATTAGATGCTTACAGTAGTCCCACAATGGAGGCAGGGTGGACATTAGTGCTATTCCCCTTTTACCAAGTCATTGAGACTCTAAGATATGAAGTGACTTTTGACAGTGACATGCTGAGCTGGAACGTAAGCTTATATTTTACAATTTCTAAGTCCAACTCTTTGTTTTAATATTGCACACCAACTTTTCCTAATTAAAGATATGATCTGATTTATGAAAGAAATTACTTGCCTAGAAATGATCAAAATAATTTGAAAGAAACTAAATCCTATTAACTTTTATTTACTGCCATTTGTATGTAATATTTAAGATTAAAATATTCATTATTTTTCCTTGAAGTAAGTATTATGTGGTCTGGATTGCCTAGGACCAATTGAAAAGCATTTTATAGATGATAATATGACTTGGTACAAAATGCTGATTAAAGTGAAGCATAAAAAATTATTTATGCATCACATATCTCCATAACATATGACTGAGCACATTTTATATTAATTTATTATGGGAAGTGTAGCCACTTACAATTAATCATATATTAGAAAGCGAGTTTCCTTAATCTATGGTGTGGTACTATTTTACTTTATGTAGCATGATTCATGCAAGTGGTATAAATAGCCTTAGAGAGTTAAACAACAGCCATAGACCATAATGATAAATAATGGAAGAGAAAAAAATTAATGAATAGAAGAAAGTGAGAAAAGATACATTATCAAATAAGCGAGAAGAAAGGATTGCAAGTATAATTTAAAGTCTTGCCAAAATGGATTGGTAGTTTCCAGGAAGAACATTTACATCATGCTCCTAGAACACTTACCAGCCAGTGCAGTGTGAATATTTCACTTCAGTAAGAATAACAGAGATGCAGCTCATACTGCAGTTGTTTTAAAGGCAGACTTGAGAAAATTCAAACTCTAGCCATGAGAAAAGATCCTCAAGTTACTTTTACGTGGAAAAATCTGAGGCTCTGAAGTTCTTTGGCTCATAGTAACAAACAAGCAGTCCCTTTTCGTTATCGTTGTGATTTTCATTGTAATGGTTTCTAATTTAGTCTTGAGATCTTTCTCTTGAGAATGGCCATGAGCCGTGATACCACTTTCTAGGAGAGTCCTGACAGGGGAGTTTATTCTGGTGTGTGTATCTGGTGAGACAATGAGGAAGTGAAACCAAAATGCACGAAACAGAAGAAATTTATTACTTACAGGTCTGGAGAGGTCGGGGTGCTGATGGGCAGCCAACAGGAAGTCCAGAGGCAATAGAGTGCTTAACTAGCTGGTGGGGGAGGAGAGAGAGAGAGTCAGAGAGAGAGAACCTGTGAGACTGCAGCTATACTAAAACCCATAGGTGTTATCACTTAAGCTTTCTCAAAGGAGTTGTGGCTTGAGTCCTTTTAAGACAACACGCTCAAAGTGGGGAACTTGATCACAGGACTCTGATGTTAACCATTAGGTTTCACCATGGCCAGCAGCTGTGGGGTGTGTTGGGTTTGGGGTCAGCAGGATGAAAAACGAGCAGACAATATCTCAAAGCACCGTAAGGGCCAGGAAACTTAACTAGACTGAAGGGGACAGGGTGCAGCTGGGCTTCCAGCAACTTACGTCAGGCTTAAAAATAGATGCTGAGGCGGAAACTTTATTAAGCAAATGTATGACAATCATATTAGCCAAAATCTGAGTACTGGTTTTTCCAAAACCCAAAGGGTGATTATTAGTGGTCTTAAAAAGCCTTGTTGATGACATGTTGAGCCTAAGGATGAAATGCTGTGTGAAGAGAGGCTCCAACTATATGCACAGCCTGTTTGTATTCCCGGATCCGCGTCGGGCAGGCTGTTACCTGGATGGAGAAGCACGTCATCAGAACAAACGGGACAAGTGAGGAAAGAAATGCTTCCACCTAAAATTCATTCAGTCTCCAAGAAGGAGGACTTCTGTTTTACCAGAGAGAGGAATCAGAGCATTCTCTGTTCCAGAATGGCAGATAAAAGTGGCACACTGGAGACACTTTAGAAAGGCTGACTATAAAAAAATGAGATATTTTTTCACAGGTGAAATTGGCAAAAGTGTCTTATCAATCTGTAGCCAGACTCACCACACATGTGAGCAATTAGAAATCCACAAGTATTTCTAGAAGTTTAAGGAAAATTTCTACCAAATCAATTTCTGTTTTCCTTACACTCCACCTGGAAATTGGCTGAACAATCAAAGATGAACTGATAGATAACATGATCCTGATGAAGATTAGCAAGTTTAATAACTTTTTTCTTATCTGAAATAGAATTATAGGTTGGTGCAAATGCAATCGTGGTTTTTGTCAAACCACGATTGCTTTTGCGCCAATCTAATATTATGAAAATGATATGGGTTTGTTTTAGTAAAAAGAAGATATTGATAAAGTATTATAATTTGCTTAGGTAGAAAAGATGTCACAGATTTTCTTCACTTACTTAAATAACAATGCGTCTGAAAAAAATATATATATAAACATATACACTCTCCACACACACCCACACCCATACCCACACCCACAAGGATGTGGGTTGCTACATGGTAGAGTGAGCTGGGATGGCTAGGGACTACAGGTTATTGGACCATTGGATAAGATATGTAAGAAGGGAGGGGAAGGGAAGGAGAGGGGAGGGGAAAGGGAGGGGAGTGGAGGGGAGGGGAGGGCAGGGCAGGGCAGGGCAAGGCAGGGCAGGGAAGGGAAAGGAAGGGAAGGGAAGGAGTGATCACCACCTCACGAGACTAACAAATGGAAAGAAAACAAAAGGAAGCACAAGTCTGGGGAGGGGAGGAAGTGGAGAAAATGTTTGTTGGAGGTGCTCCATTAGGCCCACTGGCCAATTATCTTAAAAGAAGTTCAACAAAAAATGAGTCAGGTAATATGGATTTTTCCCCTTTATTCAATGGATTTGGGTTTAGAATTAACTGAGGTTATAGATGTTCTGTTTATGTGAGCTTTCCAGCCAAACCAAAGGCTTTTCCAGACACGTTTCTGTCTCCTGATCTTGTTCCTGGCCATATTCTCCTTTCCCAGAGGACATAAAGATAATTATGTCACTGAGGACAAGGAGTGTGGCTTCTGGAGAGCAGAGTGCTGACCTAAAATCAGAAACTTGGACGACACCAGAGGAAACAATATGGTAGAGGATCAGTCTGCAGAGCCCATGAAGAGACAAGTCTCAGACAACCAGAATTGGAAAGTTATGTAGGAAAGAATGACATCAGTTAAAAGCACCGAAGTGGGTTATCACTGTGCTATTCACAAGATTACTAATTCTCACCTACCAATGTACAAATTACTCAAATATTGTGCCCTCTTTATTTTCAGGGGGAGATTTTGCACAATGTTAAGTCTTCTGTGAGTGACATAACGTGCCGGCAGATCCATTTTATTCAAACAAAGATGCGGACAGGTAGTGGCAGTTCCATGACAGGGGAACTGTTCTGCAGACATGCCTCACAGTGTGAAAAGGGCTTTTTCTCTTCTCCCCAGTGATTCATTCTCATAGGAAAGAGAAATGGTTTCAACCCCAAATTTATTGAACTTTCATTTGTATTTCCACTTGAAACAAAATTACCATGAAAAGGAAGAATAGAAATTTATTGTATTTTACCTTAGGTATATTTGGCATTTTTGAAAGTTAAAAATATGTAGGCAAATATAAATTTATATAAATTACAGAAATATGTATTTATCATGCCCGTATTGTGTAGTACAAGGCACCTTGCTTGGTTAGAGTTACAGAGGGTAAAAATGGAAAAGATCTCTTCCTATGCATGTGGAATGGAAAAGATGGCCCATGTTTTTCAAGTCTGTTCCCTTGAAGATGTTGCCTTTTCCCTCATCCTAGCAAAACTAACTATTCTAACCTTTGTTCGCTTGTTAACAGTCAGTATCAACCATGCCACTGGAGAGTCTGAGCACATTGAATCGTGTCTTTTCTTTAGCTTTGCATATTCAGCCTTAGTAAGTTTTTGCCATAAACTCCGTACTGTAAGATATCTGTGGCATAAGTGAACAAATAATTGCCACCTCCATTGGTTAGAGTTACCTCAAAACCTGGGTCTGGCTTCCCAGTCCAGGTTTCCATGTAGCAGATCACAAATAGACACACAGAATTGTGTGGACATCCAAGAGCTAGATATAACTACAAGTCTTATAAACAAAGCATTAACATGCAGAAAACCAAACTTCATGTTTTTGAAAGCTTCCTCTCACTAATGACCTGCTGCCTAATGTCTCCAAGAAAACCATCATTCAAGCATGCCAGCATGCCTCTCTATAATTTAGCATTTGTAAATTATTTACTTGATTCTTTTTTTCAACCAGTATACTAACATATGTAATTAAAACCAAATTTACAATCACAGTCTCTAAGGACACACAAAGATTACTATTGGGCTTTCAAAATGCCAGCCAACAAAAATCTGAATTAATTAGCCACCTTCCTCTACACATGAATCTGTGGCTTGTATTTTACTTTCCTTGTGATTTTCAACTCTTCTAAGCTGATTGATCAAGAAACCCGGCCCAGCGTGGTGGCTCACACCTGTAATCCCAGCACTTTGGGAGGCCAAGGTGGGTGGATCATGAGGTCAGGAGTTTGAGACCAGCCTGGCCAGCATGGTGAAACCCCGTCTCTACTAAAAATACAAAAAAATTAGCCAGGCATGGTGGCGCATGCCTGTAGTCCCAGCTACTCAGGAGGCTGAGGCAGGAGAATTGCTTGAACCCAGCAGGCAGAGATTGCAGTGAGCCAAGATCGTGCCACTGGACTCCAGTCTGGGCAACAGAGTGAGACTCTGTCTCAAAAAAATAAATAAAAAATAAAAGAAACTCATCATTCTGAAGTTGGACATTTGTAAGATGTATTCCATTTCCAAGCTGGTCAGCTGGGATTTCTACTAGCAGTGTTTCTTTTATTTGATAAGCTCTGTAATTGGTCAATGACAAGAAAACATTTTATACCATGACAAGTCACCAGCTTCTATATGGAGACAGGCATGGGACATCGTTATAACTAGACCAATGACAAGGGAATACAAAACACTAGCACATGTTTGGAGAACACAGTTTTCTCCTTTCCATCTTCCCCACAAAGTTTGGCTTAATGTAGAAGTTAATAAGCCATGCTGTCATTCAAAACAGACATGCAACGAACTCCGGTGTTGGGTACTGCTTTTCCCTTTCACCAAGAGGCCTTCAAAAAGTCACTGTGCTTCTCTAAGCTTCGGTTGTATCACTGGTAAGGTAGGGATAATGGTAAAATTCCCTCACTGGGAAGAGTAGACGGAACAAGGGAAGCACAAGAGAAGTCTTGCCTGTTAGGAAGAGCAGAAGTTTTGGAGCAACAGAACTGGACTGAGGCTGGAATTAACATTCACCAACCGCTAACATTACTGCCGATGCAAATTGGAGCAAGTGATTTAAACTGTTTAAGTTTCAGTTTTCTTGTCATTGAGATGGGGATAATTAGACATGTTTGATGGGACGCTTTTGAGGCCAATTAAATATCCACAAAATAATCTGCACATAGCTTCTCTTCAGTAAATGAAAGCTGTTACATTGCTCTATAGCTCTTTGTGCCTTTATATGTACCATGTATCAGTTCCTCTTGCCTATTCATCATTATATTATCTCCCCTTTCCCTACACTGAGTGCTGCAAAACACTGAGAGTCAATCAAATTGAAACTCATGGATCTATAGTTACCTGTAAGCAATCTGTGGACTAGATTTTTGTATAAAGAAAGAAAAATCCAAAGGAACAACAGTATTATTTTTTACAAATCTGGCCAGTCTCCAAGGACTTTGCCTCTTAGAAACGAACTTTCTCCTGACCAGAGATCACTGATTAGCTGAAAGCCACTGTTAGGCTGACTCCCCTAGTCAGCAAATCACTTCTCTGACCTTTCATTTCCCCTCCTGGAAACGGTGGATAAGCGTTGGGGAAGGTTCTCATTTCCTCTAACCACTGCATAGACTAATGCACCTACGAGAGTGTTTGAAATGTTGCCAGCTGCTTAGAGAGAAAAAAAAACACACACACACACGTAGATGCATTCTATTGACTACTTTATGTGTCGTTACTTAAATTTTAACTGGACTGATTTTCTTAAGCTATGTAAGTTGAGACTTTTGTCTCTAAAAAAAATTATACCTCAGGTGCACAGAATTAGATTAATCATAACCTTTAATTCATAGTCCATCTTCATGATCCACCTGTGTATTAGTTAAATTTTAAATTTAAATATATATTCAACACCAAAAACACTACCGCTCAAAACAGCTATTAAAATAGTTTTCAAAACGAATGTTCTAACTTAGAGTTTGAAGAAATTTACAACTTTTAAAATAGCATACAGTTAAGTAAGTTCTTGACTTGGTCTATACACTATAAAATATTTTTAATATTTTAACTGCAATTTAACAATTTATCATAAAAGGACATTTTCTTGCACTTTCTAAAGTGTAAGGAAATGACTTCTGGCATCTTCAGAAACTTCATTGTAAAAGTAAACTCAATTAAAACATCAACAACATACTTTTAATTTTTGCTTGGAGGACTGGTTACAGTTAAAAAACAATTAAAAATTGTTTTTAAAAACAACCAATATAACCATATAGAAATGAAGCAGAAGAGTTGTTTCATATTGTGATTATTTGCAGGGCAGGCTTGTGAGGTTGTCAGAAATTCTAGGAAGACATTGTGTTTTCCTGTTTTTCTAAAAGTTATATTTCTATCAATTATAAGGTACAAGAGGCCATTTTTAAATTGTGCTTATAAACGTATTTATTTAGATAACACATTTTTTTAACATATTTGACTATTTTTATTGTATGTAAACTTGGAAGTTTGCTTGAATTCAGAAAAAAAGTGTGAAGAGCCTCAAATTCTTGATGGAACAAGCCACATTATATAGAAGGATATCTGCCTTTAAGTTGATATAATTTAAAAAGCTTAATAGATATATATGTGTATGTGTGTATGTGTATATATATATATAAATTTTTTTTGAGATGGAGTCTCACTCTGTCACCCAGGCTAGGGTGTACTGGTGTGAACTTCACTCACTGCAGCCTCCGCCCCTAGGTTCAAGTGATTCTCCTGCCTCAGCCTCCTGAGAACTGGGACTAGAGGTGCACACCACCATGCCTGGCTAGTTTTCGTATTTTTAATAGAGATGGGGTTTCATCATGTTGGCTATGCTGGTGTCAAACTCCTGACCTCAAGTGATCCGCCTGCCTCTGCCTCCCAAAGTGCTGCGATTACAGGTGTGAGCCACCACACCTGGCCAATAGAGAAATATTTTGATATTAAGTCTTTATAGCTATCTTCAGAAGAATTAACCAAATAATCAATGTAATCTCAGGTTATTTGTTTCAACTACAATTATATATTGCATTTATTAATAATCTGGTTTTTAAATTGTGATGGTGCTGTAACATGTAAACAGTTTTGTTTATAATTGTCTCACTAATTATTCATGGAGACACCCGTCTATTACCATCAGAGTTGCAAGCAAACTTTTGAGCAGCTGACATAGTAAAAGTTCTAATTTGTAGCAATAGGCATGTACAAAGTTATTCAGTTATATTCTATGCATTTATCAAATTCCCTGTATATGAAGAATACTATCACAAGAATCAGGTAGATGTATTACCATTCATTCATGAGTAAATACTGACTTGAAATATAATTGAGCATGTATGTTTTGCGAAAACTTGAGCTGGATTTTGAAGAAGCAATGGTGGTAATATCTAGTAAAATCAATGAAAATGGAAAGTATAGATAGAGGGATCAATAAACAGATGATACATATAGATATCTTGATATCCATGTAGGGATATGTTCTAATTACTTTCTACAGTTGTCCCTTGTAATCTGTGGGTGATTGGTTCTAGAACATCTGTGTATATCAAAATTCAAAATCCACAAATAGCCAAGTCTCTTTTATAAAATGGTGTAGTATTTGCCTATAACCTATGCACATTCTCTTGCATCCTTTAAATCATCTCTAGATTACTTATAATACCTAACACGTTGTAAATGCTGTGTAAATAATTGTTATACTGTATGGTTTAATAATAAAAAAAAGTCTGTACATGTTCAGTACAGCTGTGACCATTCCTTTTTTAAATGATATATTAGATTTGTGGTTGATTGAATCCACGGATGCAGAATCCATACATATGAAGGGCCAACTTTCTATATAACTCATATATTCCTTAAATAACAATATAAGGTGGAAATGTCCTCTACCTTCGTATAAAAGATGAGAAAGAAAAGTAAATTTCTTGGTCAATGTTTTTATTATCAATTTGTATTATGATCATGTAAAGGCAGCATTTTCCCTGGGGCCTAATATTGCCAAATAATCTTTAATAATTACATTTAAAAATAAAGAATGAGTAGGTGCTTTCAGAAAGAATTACTGAAGTGGACAGCAAGGGAAACTGAAAATGATAACTATTACAAGAGTCGAGTGAAAGTTGAAGAGAGGTTTGAAGGAGAGAAAAGGATAGAGAGAGTTACTTGAAAGTAGGAATTGAAGCCTAATATATATGAGTGAGTTTGTTTAGCAGAAACAGAGAATAATAGTTGGAGCAGGGTAGGAACAGCAACCAGTTGACTAAAGCAGAGTACACAATTTGCTGAGTCCTAATACAAGAGGTTTCAATTTAATTTAAGTGGCTATTGTAAGCCCTCAAGGGCTCTTCTAAAGGCAGTGATGATTAATCCTGAGCAGGAGAAGATAACTCTTAATGTTCCTGTAGAATGGATCAAGCAGGGGTGAACTGGAGCCAGTGAGGCCAATTCAGGAATACGTGAGCCATGTGGGGAGGGCATCACCTATTTCACAGCCAAAGGACCGAGGGAAATGGAATTACTACAGGAGTGTGACCAACACTGGAAGTGAATAGTAGGGAAGGGATGATTAATTAAGTAGTAACAGGTTTGAAATATCCCTCCCCAAGGTGAAGAACAAGAACATTTAGAACATTAGTGACACCCACAATCCTATCAGAAAACTTGAACAAGTATAACGGTGAGGATATAGTTAACCCTCTCCTACTTATATGATGCAAAGTGTTAGAGACTACAAAAGAAATTGTATTTGTGAATGAGGACATAGAGGGACATTTTTTTCAGCTGTGGATAGTCTTTTCTTATTTAGAGATGTTTACGCAACATCCTGCAGCTTTAATGATGCATCATAGACCAGTCTATCAAATTAGCTGAATTGTATGAGCAGAGGAATCAAAGGAGTAAATAACTGTGAAGTAGAAATTATTATGAAAAACAACTACAAAAATATGAACCCACAAACCTTGATCCAAACTCTTGTCCTAGTGTTCATGGCCATGCCCATCTCACATGGAGGATAAACCTACGTGCTCTGAATAGATTAAAGTCTCTGGAACTTTTGTAAGCCAGGATATTTCTATTTCAGTGACAATAGCTTTCAGCCAAGTCATGCATTAACCCACGATCATAAGCAGTGCAGCAATGATTAAATACAGTATTCAATCCCCTTAAAATGCTAAAGAGGGAGTCTGCAGAACAACATTAAACCTCAACTGGAAATTTGTTAAAGTACAGAGTAACATTGATAGGCCAAGACTTCCAGAAATTAAACCTATGATAAAGCTACAAAAATTAACCTCATTTCTACGGAGAAAAAATAGTTTATTGCATAACACAGAACACATAGACATAACAAAATGTAGAAATTCACATTATGAGAAAGTATTATTTTGTATGATTGAAGAAATTCTGTTATGTAAACTAATTGGTTTGAGAGAATTATTTGAAAATAATAAAGCTTAATCTCCAGTTTATTACTTAATAAAATAGAATTCCAGTTTGGTCAAAAGTTTAAATATAAAAAAACCACAACAGTTTAAGAAAAATGAATGTGTAATATTTTTTGCAATTTAAAAGTACAAAAGTATAAGAAAAAGTAAAAAGTTATAACTGAAAAATTGATATATTTCATTTTATAAATATTTATATTTAACAAATTAAAAAATATGATAATTTAAATGTTCAACAGTAAACTGAGAATACAGTTCACAGCCTCTGTAGCTAAATTTCTTAATTCATAAAAGTAGATATACATCATGATGAAGCAATCAATTACTCACTAAAAGAGCTAACTATATAAATAGACAATTTATAGAAACAACATGTCAAAACTAAATAAATGCTTAATCTCACTCAAAATAAAACAAATGCTACTCAAAACAATAATAATATTTAAGACTGGAAATACGTTGGTGTAAGTATGAAAGTTTCTGGGGCAATTTTGGTTGTATTCATAAAATTTTAAAAATGTATATAATTTTATCTTAGTGATTTTATTGCCAAGGAACTCTTCCTCAAGAGTCACACACATATATTTCAAGATATATGTAAACAAAAATTTCACTTATATTGAAAGAACAAAAAGTAGGCTAACTGAACAATTTGCCAATTTGAAAACTGACTAAACAATTTACTGTACATTCTTACAATTTCTAAAGAGTTTATTTCTGAAAATTATATAAATTAAATTTTGAAGCAGGTAAAGACAGTATAAAAACAAAAATTTATAAATCCATTTAACTGATGCATGCAGATATAATTGTCTGTTCAAATCTAACAGTGTATGAAACAAATAAATCATGAGGAAGTCATATTGATCCAGAAATGGAAGAATAATTCAGTAATAAATAATCTATCAATGCAATTTGCTGATTTAAATGGAAAAATCTTATAATTATATCAGTAGATTCAGAAAAAGCATTTGAAAATGTGCATTATTTATGATTTTAAAAATCTCACAGCAAATTAGGAATAAAAAAGAACTCTCTTAACAAAGTAAAAACTGTATATCAAAAATCTATCACAAATATTTACTTAATGGGGACAAACCAGGCATGTGTATTTTCACTGCAACTGTTCAACAGAGAATAGAATTCCTAGCCAATGTTGTAAGAAATAAAAAAAATACAGCAGTGCAATTATTTTAAGAGAAAAGGCAAACATCATTATTTGCAAATGACAGCCTCATCTACAAACCACAACAAATATAACCAACAGAAAAACTACAATAAGTAATGAGAGAGTTGAACAAATTTACTGCATAAATGAATAACTTACCAAAATAGTGCAATTTGTCTGTAGTAAAATAATAGGAAATGAAATATTTACAGTACAACCTACAATAAAATTTTTGATAATTATCAAATATACATAAAGGCATAAAAGATCTGAATACAGGACCCTAAAAGATCCAAATAAATTGAGATAACATATTATAAAAACATCAATTTCCTGAAAATTAACTTATGAATTCAGTGCTACCTTAATTAAAATTTTAGCTGGATCTTGAGAAGCTCAAGAATCTTCTTTTGAAATTCAGATAGGAAAATAAAGATCCAAAGACAGCTAAGAAAGTTGGAAAAGGTTTAAAATAGCAATAACAACTTTCATGAAAATCCCAATTTCATGAAGGCAGGGATTTTTTTCTGTTTTGCTTACTGCTAAATCTTCATTCTCTAGAATCATGCTTGACACATAAGACACAATAAATGCTTGTTGAATGCATGAAAACTGCAAACAGCATGCCACTGGCACAAACTTATCCTATGGAAATTACAGACCAGAAAGATACATGAGCTTAACGCAAGCAAATGATCATATGTATAATCCATCATATCAAAAGGGAGATACAGGGTGCAATGGATTCTCGTAGAAGGAATTAACCTGCCTATTACCCTAGGACTGGATTTGCGAACAGAGAATAGGAAATTGTGAATGACTCTTTCCACAATTTAGCATAGACAATGTTCTGGATGGGCATCATTGCATTGCACTTAGAGAGCAGTTAAGGGTAACAAAATGATACGCTTGGCTAAAGCACAAAACAGACCATTTCCATGATATATAGTCTTTAAAAAGTAAATGTTTGAGCAATATTCAGAGACATCTTAGATTTCTAGGATCCAAGATGCAGTGTGTAAGTAAATAATGATCTGGAGTAATGAATAAGCAGCTATTTCTTACTATCAAAATAGTAGTTGGAATACTATATGTGTAACTTTCATCAAATTTTGCTACTTTTCACATGTAAAATAATTACTAAAATAGTTTCAAATATTTCAAATATTGCTATAGAACATTTAGGTGACAAAATTCAGATTAATATCTCAAAACTGTTGGTCCAAACATAAAAATGCTATGTAGTTCAGCATCTTGGACTCGGTACAATTACATTGTGGGCGGGGGGGGGGTCTCCTTGCATCCACATATTTAGCCCAAGTTTTAAGTTGATTTTAGAGTGGATTTATGTTCTCCTTGCCCCAAGAATCAAGGCATTGTGAACAACACTTGGCATAATTCCACCCACCCGTCCTCAACAAGTGGAGACCTTAGGGCATTTCATTCATGATATTTCGAATGCTCCTCCACTGACGAGGACATTATATGCTTTCTCCTATCAAGCTTATAATAGAATTTCCCCCATTTTCTCATCTGCAAAATTAATTACACAATACTAGTTTTACCTGGAAAAGGAAAAGACTTCACATTTGGAGTGGAAGCCAAGCGCCTCAACGAAAAGATACAATGAATAGTCAGGCCAGCTTGCATTCACTATGCAATACGTAGAGGATATGGTTATGCTCATGCCGTTTCCTCACCTCCGTAGCTGGGATTTATGGCAGTTAAAGCATTATCTAAATGAGCAGATGAAAAAATAAAGTGAAAATCTCTTACATGACTAACTGTAAAATATCATAAAACAAATAAATTAATTCAATTGCATGCTCCAAATGACATTTTCAGAGCATTGCTTTTGGTTAATGTCTTTGTGAAAGAAGAATTGCTAGGCTCCATAGAAAGGAGTGCATTTTGAAAACTGTTTCTTGATAATTGTCACTGATACGTTTCCAATTTACAAAATGCTCTGCCTAGAAATGAAGAGTGCCCTTTGCTGTTCTGTGGGTGGCAAAAAATGTTTTATTGGGGCTATATTTTCTGAAATGGTGAAAGTTTATCTGCGCCATTTCTAACTGCAGGGGATTCAGAATGAGTGAAATAGGTAGGAAATGGGCAAATATTCATGGGTAATGTCAAGAATGTTCAAGTTTTCTGATCTCATGGAATAATCTAATGTTTCCTATCAGGAGAAGATGAATTAGCAGCGTTTTATGCCAGCTATAGGATAAGAGGAGCACGCTATCAGATGAGAGGTGCTTTCTAGGGTTATGAACCTCACAATTGACAGATTTTATCAAAAAAACCTTCCCTCATGCTTTCAAGATGGTGTATTTAAAGAACAGTAATGGGAGGAGAAATGTTTAGGTCAACGGACTGCAGCATAACGAGGGCTTTTGCCCACTCTCTGGGATATAAACATCTGTCATCTGAGACTATAAAAAATGGAATCCAGGTTTAAGAAAGCTTAACTCACATGCACTGTGTTCTGAGAGGCTCCTCATCCTCCTCCCCCAGCCCCGCAGGGATACACTGCATGGGAGTTAATCTTTCTTAAACCTGGATTCCCTTTTATATAGTCTCAGATGACGGAATATCCTGTGTTTTCGGAGATCCTGACTAGAGAAGCTTGGAGAAACCTGAGGCCCAGCTCTCTCCGACTTGACTTAGATAGCCTGGGCACAGGACCTGCCATGTCTGCGACGTTAAGGTCATGAATGGGCAGGGCTACTGTTGCTGCTTTCTTCTCTCTAAGATCTTCTAGGAAAGCCTGTCTACTTAGAGCATTAGCAGACTGCAAAAAGAAAGGAAAGTGTGCCAAAATACTCACTCATTATTTCAACATATATTTATCGAGCAGCTAGTCTGTATATTTAGAGAAAAATAGTCAGACCAGATTGTCATTTACCACTGCTCAGGATTTTGTGAATATAATGGTGAGCGAAGCAGGGGAAAGGCCTGCTCTCTGAACCTGTCTTTGAGTGACAAATGTCAGAAAATCAGTAATGGATACTAATGAACAAAAGATAAATCCAGGCGGTGATAACTACTATTGTGACATTTTGAGTAATCTTGATATAAGTAGGATCCTGGAGGAAGTGGATGGATCAAGACAATCTGGGTTATTCAGGGAAGGATTCTCTGAGGAGGTGATGGTGCCCTAAGACCCCAGTGGTGAGAGTGAGCAGACAGGTGTAGATGAGGGGTGCACTCCAGGGAAAGAGACGGGGAGCAAAGGCATTGAGGCAGAGTGAGGTGGACTTGCCTGAGAGACAGGAAGGCCAGGTGACTGTGGGCAGTGAATTAGGGAAAAGAGTGGGATGAGCTGCCATGGTCTGCAGGTACATAATCCAAGGCTAGCAGGACGAGGCAAGGGGTGTGCTTTATTTTCAAAGGACAACAGGGATGCTGGAGGGTTCCCAATAGAGGAGCAAAATGATCTGATAAAGATATTGAAAATCACTCTGGCTATGGTGGAAAACGGATTCTAACATGGGGAAGAAAAGAACCAGAGAGAAAGAACAGCTAATGGCTGCATTCAATTTTCATCGCAGCTACCACAAGCTACTACAAATTTAACACAACACACGTGCATTATCTTACAGTCCTGGAAGTCCAAAGTCCAAAATCAGTCCTACTGGGCTACAGTCAAGTTGTCGGCAGGAACATGTTCCTTCTGGAGGCTGCAGGGGAGAATCTGTGCCTAGGCTTTTCAGGATGGCTGTGGTCCTCACCTGGAGCGACCCTACATCACACATCCCCCACCTTTCCCTCTGCTTCCCTCGTTCCTTCTTCTCACTCCGATGTCCTACCGACCTCTCATAAGGACCTTTGTGAGGATGCTGGGCCCATGTGGATTACCCAGGACACTCTCCCCATCTCAAGAGGCTGATTTAGTCACAGCTGCAAAGTCCCTCTTTCCATATAAAGTAACATTCACAGGTTTTGGGGATTAGAAAGTGGAGACCCTTGAGGGTCCTTATTCTGCCGACTACAGAATGCTGAAAGCATGGCTTCTTGTAAGGATCTTCGTGAGCAGAACCAGGGTGGTCTAGGGTGGTCACAGCCAAAATCAAATGAATACAAAGATTTGGGACACATTTTTTCCAACCTGACAGGAGTTCCTGATTGGCTATGAAGGGGTGAAGAAAAACAAGAAATAAAAGATAATTCACACCAGAGGTTTTCAAACTGTATCCCAGGCTCTATGGCCAACAAGGTCAAAATAACTTCCATTATAATTCCTGTGGGGTGGTTCATCTTTTCACTCTCATTTCCTCACGAGCTTGCAGCAGGCTCTCCATGAACTTGGTGCCTTGAAACGGCACCTGCACCATGATGGCTAGTGTGTGTTGGTGCTTTCAAAGCTCTCTGTTTAAAATTCCAACATGGTAAGTAGCTGGAGATAGAATTTATCCACAGACACTCTTTGAAATCCTCAACTTTTTAAAAGTATGAAGAGATCATCATAACAAAAAGTTTGAAAACTGCTGGCTTATATTTTGATTGAACACAGGAGTAACATTTATGAGATAGAAAAGATAAGGTGGGAAATGAAATTGTGGGAAAGTCAAGAGTTCCAAGAGTTCTGCCAAATATCATGAAGCAAAAACATTATGTAATATATTCTGAATGGACCTTAGACAAGTTGTGTGTTGGATATTAGGTTTTACTGTCCTTATTAATGTAGCCAATACAAACCCATCTACCTGGATCAAAGATATAGTGGGTCCCAGCCAAAATATAGTCAGCACTGCTAAATATGTCAGACATATGCTGGTTTCTAGGGACAAAAAATGGGAATTAAGACAAGTCCATCATAATCCCTTTCCACATAAAACATATATCCCTCCAAGGTTGTATGTTTTAAGTGACCAGGGATTATCATGGTCTTATTGTCTTATTCATTTTCTGTCCCTAGAAAACAGCTATGAGCTGTGAGCTGAGGGAAGCAGTTAAGATCAAAGTCCCTTACAGGAACCCCAAATTCTACAGTATATCTGGAGAGATGAATGATGCCATGGAAGAGATATGATAGCAATACCCATATGAAAAAGACTTGGTGAACAAAGGTCAGGAGATTGGACTTCATTTCCAGATGGCGGGAAGCTAGAGTGTGCTCGGTAGACTAAGATGGATAATTGTCAAGTGGCTGAGTAAGTAAAGGAATTTGCTATCTGTGGATGAGACAACTTTAGGGACCTCTTAAGTGTTAGGAGTGGATCTTATTCATGTTTGAAGAAACAATAACACTGCACTGGTACACAGAATCCATTCACGATGTTCGTATATGTTTGTCTAAACTGAAGAAAGATGTAATTGGATTTCTAAAACATCTTAAATGTCGTTTTATTTTCTAGCTCACAAATGATTATTTTTCACCAGAGAAAAATAAATAAAATTCGTTCTAACCCAGCCCCAACTTCAACCCACTCATGCATCCAGATACAGGTTTCCTATTTACCCATAGCTATTCTCTTTTCATGATCACAATAAATAATCTGATCTCTATCTCTAACAGATATATAAATGAATGTAGGTACTTATAATAAATAAATGCCTTTATCAAGTTTCAGGGTTTCATTTTATTTTTAGAAACCAATTTTACAACGGAGTCATATCCCTGTGCAAGTGTGACTATGGTAGAAGCGATCCTCATTAATACAACAATACAGCAATGATTCTTGATTGGGGGCTGGGGGAAACCATTGTGTCTTAACCCCTCATGTATAATTACTGCATTTATAAAAGACAAAGCCTTTCTTGGAGCAGCCCTGGTAAGATGTCGTAGAAACTCACCCTTTCTTGTCAGGTCAGCCACAGCTTGCCCATTGCTCTGGCTAAAAATCCTGACTTCAGTGATTGCTGTGGTTCATGTGCACCTGGAGTTCTGAGTTAGGTCCAGAAGTCACCTGAAAAATCACACCCCAGGCATGCTGATTTCTAATCTAAGCAATGTAAATCGGTGGAATTTGTAGTAAAGGTGATCTTTGGTTGAAATATCAAGTTACTGTAGGGCAATGGGAAAGTAAAGTTTCAGATTTAAATTTCTTTGGATAGTTTCAAAGGACATTGTTACTGATTGAAATTAGAGGTGGATAAATTAATTCACACAGTCATGCACTCATTCAACAAATACTTATCAAGATTCTACTATGTGTAAAAAATTATACTAGCAACAGGGAATCAGATAATCAACAAGACAGGCAAGGGAGTTATTGTTAAAGAATAAGGGAAATATAAATCAGTAATTGTGCAATTATTTAATTGCATATGTGACTGGCGCTGCTATGGAGAAATAAGGACACCATCAGAAAGGGAAACAGTGGAACCTGGTCCTACAGACCTCCCATTTTGAGGGGTCTAGCAGGAACTTTATCTCTATAAAATCTCTAAGCCTCTGAAAAAGCAACCTGCAGATGTAGCTGGCTCAGCAGATGTCCTCCTGGCAAAGAGTTTCAGTGTCACCTAGCTCCATGGGCCCAAATCTTCATTTGCATTTTGGTATTATGACTTCTTATTTTTTGCCAGATTTTGTTCTATTTGAAAGGTATTTAAAAACATTTATCAGTAAGTTTAGGGAGATCTGGCAAGATGGCCAAATAGAAACAGCTCCAGTCTGCAGCTCCCAGCAAGACCAATGTAGAAGGCAGGTGATTTCTGCATTTCCTACTGAGGTACTTGGTTCATCTCACTGGGACTGGTTAGACAGTGGGTGCAGCCCACAGAGGCCAGGCAGCAGCAGGGTGGGGCATTGCCTCACCCAGGAAGCACAAGGGGCTGGGACCTCCCTCCTCTAGCCAAGGGAAGCCATGAGGGACTGTGCTATCTGGCCCAGATGCTATGCTTTGCCCATGGATTTTGCAACCTGCAAACAGGAGATTTCCTCATGTGCCTAAACCACCAGAGCCCTAGGTTTCAAGCACAAAACTGAGCAGCTGTTTGTGCAGACACCGAGCTAGCTGCAGGAGTTTTTTTTTTCATGCCCTAATGGCGCCTGGAACACCAGGGAGACAGAATCATTTACTCCCTTGGAAAGGGGGCTGAAGCCAGGGAACCAAATGGTCTTCCTCACTGAGTCCAACCCCCCTAGAGCCCAGCAAGCTAAGCTCCCCTGTCTTGAAGTTCTCACTGCCAGCACAGCAGTCTGAAGTTGAGCTGGGATGCTCGAGCTTGGTGGGGTAAGGGGCATCCACCATTACTGAGTCTTAGGTGGTATTCCCCTCACAGTGTAAATGAAGCCGCCGGGAAGTTTGGACATTGTGGAATCCACCACAGCACACAAAAGCTGCTATGGCCAGACTGCCTCTCTAGATTCCTCCTAATTGGGCAGGGCATCTCTGAAAGAAAGGCAGCAGCCCCAGTCAGGGGCTTATAGATAAAACTCCCATCTCCCTGGGACAGAGCACCTCAGGGAAGTGTGGCTGTGGGCACAGCTTCATCTGACTTAAATGTTCCTGCCTGCTGGCTCTGAAGAGAGCAGCAGATCTCCCAGCACAGTGCTTGAGCTCTGCTAAGGGGCAGACTGCCTCCTCAAGTGGGTGCCTGACCCCCATGCCTCCTGACTAGGAGACATGTCTGATCAGGAGGTGACAGACACCTCATACAGGAGAGCTCTGGCTGGAATCTGGGGTGGGTGCTTCTCTGGGAAGAAGCTTCTGGAGGAAGAAGCAAGCAGCAATCTTTGCTGTTCTGCAGCCTTCCCTCATGATACCCAAGCAAACACGGTTTGGAGTGGACCTCTGCAAACTCCAGCAGACCTGCAGAAGAGGGGCCTGACTGTTAGAAGGAAAACTAACAAACAGAAAGCAATAACATCAACATCAACAAAAGGATGCACACGCAAAAACTCCTTCCAAAGGTCATCAGCATCAAAGATCAAAGGTAGATAAATTCAGGAAAATGAGAAAAAAACAGCATAAAAATGCTGAAAATTCCAAAAGCCAGAATGCCTCTTCTCCGCCAAAGGATCACAACTCCTCACCAGCAAGGGCACAAAACTGGATGGAGAATGAGTTTGACAAATTGACAGAAGTAGGCTTCAGAAGGTGGGTAATAACAAACTCCTCTGAGCTAAAGGAGCATGTTCTAACCCAATGCAAGGAAGCTAAGAACCTTGATAAAAAGTTACAGGAACTGCTAATGAGAATAACCAGTTTAGAGAAGAAGATAAATCACCTGATGGAGCTGAAAAACACAGCATGAGAACTTCATGAGGCATACACAAGTATCAATAGCCAAATCGATCAAGCAGAAGAAAGGATATCAGAGAGTGAAGATCAACTTAATAAAATAAAGCATGAAGACAAGATTAGAGAAAAAAGAATGAAAACGAATGAATAAATCCTCCAAGAAATATGGGACTATATGAAAAGAGCAAACCTACAATAAATTGATGTACCTGAAAGTGATGGGGAGAAAGGAACCAAGTTGGAAAACATACTTCAGGATATGATCCAGGAGAACTTCTCCAACCTAGCAAGACAAGCCAACATTCATTTTCAGGAAATACAGAGAACACCACTGAGATACTCCTCAAGAAGAGCAACCACAAGACACATAATTGTCAGATTCCCAAGGTTTAAATGAAGGAAAAAATGTTAAAGGCAGCCAGAGAGAAAGGTCAGGTTACCTACAAAGCGAAGCCCATCAGACTAACAGCAGGTGTCTCTGCAAAAACCCTACAAGCCAGAAAAGGGAGTGGGGGCCAATATTCAACATTCTTAAAGAAAAGAATTTTTGACTCAGAATTTCATATCTAGCCAAACTAAGCTTCATAAGCAAAGAAGAAAAAAAATCTTTTTCAGACGAGCAAATGCTAAGGGATTTTGTCACCACCAGGCCTCCCTTACAAGAGCTCCTGAAGGAAGCCCTAAACACGAAAAGGAAAAACCGGTATCAGAAACTGCAAAAACATAGCAAAATATAAAGACCAATGACACTATGAAGAAACTGCATCAACTAATGTGCAAAATAACCAGCTAGAATCATAATGACAGGATGAAATTCACACATAACAATATTAACTTTAAATGTAAATGGGCTAAACGCCCTAATTGAAAGACACAGGTTGGCAAATTGGATAAAGTGTCAAGACCCATTGGTGTGCTGTATTCAGGAGACCCATCTCATGTGCAGACACACATAGGCTCAAAATAAAAGCAAGAAGGAATATTTACCAAGCAAATGAAAAGCAAAAAAACAAAAAAACAGCAGGGGTTGCAATCCTAGTCTCTGATAAAACAGACTGTAAACCAACAAAGATCAAAAGAGACAAAGAATGGCATTACATAATGATAAAGGGATTAATGCAACAAGAAGAGCTAAATATCCTAAATATACGTGCACCCAATACAGAAGCACCCAAGTCATAAAGCAAGTTCTTAGAGATCTAAAAAACACTTAGACTCCCACACAATAATAGTGGGAGACTTTAACAACCCACTGTCAATATTAGACAGATCAATGAGGTAGAAAATTAATGAGGATATTCAGGATTTGAACTCACCTCTGAACCAAGTGGACCTAATAGACATCTACAGAACCCTCCACCCCAAATCAACAGAATATACATTCTACTCAGCACCATATCACACTTATTCTAAAATTGAACACATAATTGGAAGTAAAACACTCCTTAGGAAATGCAAAAGAATGGAAATCATAACAGTCTCTCAGACCACAGTGCAATCAAATTAGAACTCAGGGTTAAGAAACGCACTTAAATTAGCACAACTACATGGAAATTGAACAACTTGCTCCTGAGTGACTACTGGGTAAATAACAAAATTAAGGCAGAAATAAATAAGTTCTTTGAAACCAATGAGAACAAAGACACAACATACCAGAATCTCTGGGATACAGATAAAGCTGCGTTTAGAGGGAAATTTATAGCACTAAGTGCCCACATCAGAAAGTGGGAAAGATCTAAAATTGACACCCTAATATCACTATGAAAATAACTAGAGAAGCAAGGACAAACAAATTCAAAAGCTAGCAGAAGACAACAAATAACTAAGATCAGAACAGAACTGAAGGAGATAAAGACATGAAAAATCTTTCAAAAAATCAATGAATCCAGGATCAGGTTTTTGAAAAGATTTACAAAATACATAGACTGCCAGCCAGACTAACAAAGAAGAAAAGAAAGAAGAATCAAATAGACACAATAAAACATGATAAAGGGGATATCCACTGATTCCAGAGAAATACAAACTACCATTAGAGAATACTATAAATAACTCTATGCAAATAATAAACTAGAAAATCTAGAAGAAATGGATAAAGTCCTGGACACATATACCCTCCCAAGACTAGACAAGGAAGAAGCCGAATCCCTGAAAAGACCAAAGACAAGTTCTGAAATTGAGACAGTAATTAGGAGCCTACCAACCAGAAAAAGCCCAGGACCAGATGGATTCATAGTCGAATTCTACCAGAGGTACAAAGAGGAGCAGGTACCGTTCCTTTTGAAACTATTCCAAACAACAGAAGAAGAGGGATTCCTCTCTAACTCGGTTTATGAGGCCAGCATCATCCTGATATCAAAACCTGGCAGAGACACAACAGAAAAAGAAAATTTCAGGCCAATTTCCCTGATGAACATTGATATGAAAATCTTCAATAAAATACTGGCAAACCAAATCCAGCAGCATATCAAATAATTTATCCACCATGATCAAGTTGGCTTCATCCCTGGGATGCAAGGCTGGTTCAACATACACAAATCAATAAATGTAATCCATCCCATATACAGAACCAATGACAAAAACCACATAATTATTTCAATAGATGCAGAAAAGGCCTTCAATAAAACTCAACACCCCTTCATGCTAAAAAAACACTCAATAAACTAGGTATTAATGGAACATATCTCAAAATAATGAGAGCTGTTTATGACAAACCTGTAGCCAATATCATACTGAATGGGAAAAAGCTGGAAGCATTCCCTTTGGAAACCAGTATAAGACAAGGATGACCTCTCTCACCACTCCTATTCAACATAGTACTGGAAGTTCTCACCAGGGCAATCAAGCAAGAGAAAGAAAGGGTATTCAAACAGGAAGAGAGAAGAAGTCAAATTGTCTCTCTTTGCAGATGACATGATTGTATATTTAGAAAATCCCATCATCTCAGCCCAAAACCTCCTTAAGGTGATAAGCAACTTCAGCAAAGTCTCAGGATACAAAATCAATGTGCAAAAATTGCAAGCATTCCTTTACACCAATAATAGACAAACACAAAGCCAAAACATGAGTGAACTCCCATTCACAATTGCTACAAAGAGAATAAAATACCTAGGAATACAACTTACAAGAGACATGAAGGAGCTCTTCAAGTAGAACTACAAACCACTGCTCAAGGAAATAAGAGAGGACACAAGCAAATGGAAAAACATTCCATCCTCATGGATAGAAAGAGTCAATATTGTGAAAACGGCCATACTGTCCTAAGTAATTTAAAGATTCAATGCTATTCCCATCAAGCTGCCACTGACTTTCTTCATAGAATTAGAACAAACTACTTTAAATTTCATATGAAACCAAAAAAGAGCCCCTATAGCCAAGACAATCCTAAGCAAAAATAACAAAACTGAAGGCATCATGCTACCTGACTTCAAACTATATTACAAGGCTACAGTAACCAAAAAAGCAGGGTAATGGTACCAAAACAGACATATACATCAATGGGACAGAACAGAGGCCTCGGCAATAACACCTACACACTATCACCTACATACCACACATATATAACGATCTGATTTTTGACAAACATGATGAAAACAACCAATGGGGAAAGGATTCCCTATTTAATAAATGCTGTTGGGAAAACTGGCTAGCCATATGCAGAAAACTGAAACTGGACCCCTTCCTTACACCTTATACAAAAATTAACTCAAGATGGATTAAAGACTTAAATGTTAGACCTAAAACCATAAAAACCCTAGAAGAAAATCTAGGCAATACCATTCAGGACATAGGCATGGGCAAATGACTAAAACACCAAAAGCAATGGCAAAAAAGCCAAAATTGACAAATGGGATCTAATTAAAAGAAAGAGTTTCTTCATAGCAAAAGAAACTATCATCAGAGTGAACAGGCAACCTACAGAATGGAAGAAAATGTTTGATATCTATCCATCTGACAAAGGGTTAATATCCAGAGTCTACAAGGAACTTAAACAAATTTACAAGAAAAAAACAAACCCCATCAAAAGGTGGGAGAAGGGTATGAACAGACACTTCTCAAAAGAAGACATTTATGCAGCCAACAAACATATGAAAAAAAGCTCATCATCACTGCTCATTAGAGAAATGCAAATCAAAACCACAATGAGATATCTCACGTTAGTAAGAATGGCAATCATTAAAGAGTCAGGAAACAACAGATGCTGGAGAGGATCTGTTGGATCCCTCATGCCTTCTTTCTGTCCTCATAGTAGTGAGTGAGTTCTCATGAGAACTGGTTGCTTAAATATGTGGAACCTCCCCCACTGATATGATTTGACTCTGTGTCCCCACCCAGTCCTCATGTCAAATTGTAATTCCCAGTGTTGGAGTAGAGGCCTGGTGAGAAGTGATTAAACAATGGGGGCAGACATCCCCCTTGCTGTTCTTGTGATAGAGTTTTCATGAGATCTGGTTGTTTGAAAGCATATAACGGGTCCCCATTCAAGCTCTCTCTCTTTCCTCTCTCTCTCTCCTGCCATCATGTGAAGATGTGTTTGCTTCTCCTTCACCCTTCTGCCATGATTGTAAGTTTCCTGAGACCTCCCATCCATACTTCCTGTACAGCCTGTGGAACTTTGAGTCCATTAAACATCTTTTCTTCATAAGTTACCCAGTCTCAGGTTGTTCTTTATAGCAGTGTAGAAATGGACTAATACACCCACTCTCTGTTGCTCCTATTCTGCCATGTGAGACACTTGCTCCCCCTTCACCTTCTCCCATGATTGAGAGCTCCCTGAGGTTTCACCAGAAGCCAAGCAGATACCAGCTCCATATTTTCTGTACAGCCTGCAGAACTGTGAGTCAATTAAGCCTCTTTTCTTTATAAATGATCTAGTCTCAGGCAGTTCTCTACAGCAACACAATAACAGGCTAGTAAAGACCACATCATGAGCCACTTTGTCAACCACATCCTAAGCATATTTGGACGACAGCAAAAGACAATCATGAATAATCCCTTTACATTCAGCCCCTTAAAATGGTCTTAAATGGTAAGAGACATGAATTAGATCGCTTCTGAAGTATTCACTTCAGGGATTTGTAATTATGGCATAGTTTAATACGGTGCAAACTTGCCCAGCTCACACTTTTAGAAAACATCCCTAAAAAGAATGATTATATGATTTTTGATGTCATCTTGAATTGTAGCACTTATAATTCCCATGTGTTGTGGAACGGACATGGTAGAAAATAATCGAATCATGGGGGCAGTTTCCCCCATACCGTTCTCATTGTAGTGAACAAATCTCATGAGATCTGATGGTTTTATAAGGGGTTTCCCCTTCCACTTGTCTGTTTTTTCTCTCTTGCCTGCCACCATGTAAGACATGACTTTGCTCCCCCTTTGCCTTCTGCCGTAATTGTGAGGCCTCCCCAGCCATGTGGAACTGTGAGTCCACTAAACATCTTTTCTTTATAAATTACCCAGTCTCAGTCTTTATTAGTAGTGACAGAACAGACTAATACAGTAAATTGGTACTGGTTAAGTAGGGTGCTGCTGTAAAGATACCCAAAAATGTGGAAGCAACTTCAGAACTGGATAAAAGGCAGAGATTGGAACAATTTGGAAGGCTCAGAAGAAGATAGATAAATGTGGGGAAGTTTTAAACTTCCTAGAGACTTGGAGGGCTCAGGAGATAGGAAAATGTGGGAAAGTTTGGAACTTCCTAGAGACTTGTTGAATGGCTTTGACCAAAATGCTCATAGTGAGATAGACAATAAGGTCTAGGCTGAGGTGGTCTCAGATGGAGATGAGGAACTTGTTGAGGACTGGAGTAAAGGTCACTCTTGCTATACAAGGAGACTGGCAGCATTTTTCCCCTGCCTTAGCGATCTGTGGAACTCTGAACTTGACAAAGTTGATTTAGGGTATCGGGTGAAAGAAATTTCTAAGCAGCAAAGTGTTCAAGAGAAAACAGAGCATAAAAATGTGAAAAATTTGCAGCCTGACCATGCAATAGAAAAGAAAAACTCATTTTTCTGGGGAGAAATTCAAGCCTGCTGCAAAAAATTGCACAATGTTAATCACCAAGACAATGGGGAAATATCTCCAGGGCATGTCAGAAACTTTTTTGGCAGATCCAGAGGACTAGGAGGAAATAATAGTTTTGTGGGCTGGACCCAAGGCTCCCTTGTGGTGTGCAATCTAGGGACTTGGTACCCTGCATCCCAGCTGATCCAGCTGTGGCTAAAAAGGGCCAAGGTGCAGCTCAGGCCATGGCTGCAAAGGATACAAGCCCCAAGCCTTGGCAGCTTCCACATGGTGTTCAGCCTCTGTGTACACAGAAGTCAATAATTGACTTGTAGATGTCAATTCTTGAAGGTGTCAAATCCCCACCTAGATTTCAGAGGATGTATGGAAACACCTGCATGTCCAGGCAGAAGTTTGATGCAGGGGTGGAGCCCTCATGGAGAGCATCTACTAGGATAGTGTAAGAGGGAAATGTGGAGTTGGAGCTCCCACACAGGGTCCCCACTGGGGCACTGCCTAGTGGAGCTGTGAGAAGAGGGCCAGCATCCTCCAGAGCCCAGAATGGTAGATCCACTGACAGCTTGCATTGTGCACCTGGAAAAGCTGCAGACACTGAATGCCAGCCCATGAAGGGAGCCAAGAGGGGTGCTGTACTCTGCAAAGCCATGGGATGGAGCTCCACAAGACCATGGGAACCCCCCTATTGCAACGGTGTGACCTAGATGTGAGACACAGAGTCAAAGGAGATCATCTTGGAGCTTTAAGATTTGACTGCCCCATTGGGTTCTGGACTTGCATGGGGCCTGTATTCCCTTTGTTTTGTCCAATTTCTCCCATTCGGAATGGCTGTATTCACCCAATGCCTGTACCCCCATTGTATCTAGGAAGTAACTAACTTGCTTTTGATTTTAAAGGCTCAAATGCAGAAGGGACTTGCCGTGTCTCAGGTGAGATTTTGGAATATGAACTTTTGAGTTAATGCTGAAATTAGTTAAGACTTTGGGGAACTGTTGGGAAGACATGATTGGTTTTGAAACGGGAGGACATGAGATTTGGGAGGGGCCGGGGCAGAATGATATTGTTTGGCTTTGTGTCCCCACCCAAATCTCATCTTGAATTGTAGTTCCCATAATTCCCATGTGTCATGAGAGGGAACAGATGGAGAGATAATTGAATCACGGGAGTGATTTTTTCCATACTGTTCTCATGGTAGGGAATAAGTCTCATGAGATTCAATGTTTTTTTAAGGGGTTTCCCTTTTCACTTGGTTCTTATTCTTTCTTATCTGCTGCAATGTAAGACATGTCTTTTGCCTTCCACTATGATTGTAAAGCCTCCCTAGCCATGTGGAACTGTGAGTCCACTAAACCTCTTTTTCTTTATAAATTACCCAGTCTTGGGTATGTCTTTATCAGCAGTGTGAAAATGGACTAATGTGATGATGCATATCTTAAATTGATAGTATATTAAATTTCTGGTTATATTCATGAAGAAGCATATTCAGTACCAAAATCTGCACCACACAGAGGGCAGAACCAAGGGAATGCTTGATTCAGTACCACACAGTAGCCAGAGATAAGCTGAGGGCCCAGAATCCCATTATTCAACTTCAGTAGAACTTTCAGGCTCCCCTTCCTATGTATGTCACATTTAATCTTCTCCTCAGTCAGGCCATTTTCTAATGTAGAAAACAGAAGGTCAGAATGTTTCTATTTGACATGAGACATTATATTACCCGAAGTTAGGTCTCTAGAATTGAAAAGTTAGAATGATAGTGTGTCAGAAGGCACATTATGTTTTTCTTTTTCAATTGAAAATTTACATTTTTTAAAATAAAATCTCAGAGTTGAGAAAAAAAAAAAAAGAACACCTCAGATGTTATCTAATGGTGAAACTTGTGGCTTACATCTTCTTTAGGAAAAGCCACTCAGCCCATGTGTAAGCCTCCAGACTGGAACATCAGTGTCTCTGGAGCAGTGTGCTGAATGCAATCATACTGTAGTGAGGACCTGCAGACTCATTTGGAAATGGGGGTGGGGGTGTCTGATAAGTCTTTTATTATGTTCTCAGTGTTACATGAAAAAATATCTTGATGAAGGTTAATCAAATATGGAGAAAATTTGCCTGTTTATTTTACATGAAGTAGGGAAAAACAGATGAAATGTGTTGTGTGGCCCCTGCCTGCCATGAATTTGAAATCCCCCCAGTAGATAACTTAGACGAACTGATTTGATTGATGAGACAGAATTATATAAATAAACATCACATACCATAGTCTGTACTGTTCATTAGCTAATGGAATAGCTCTCCCTAATCCCAACACCCTTCCTGCCACCAGCATTGAGGCTTAAAGTTATTCTTGCTTACCAACAACCTTTGTAAAGGGAAATCTGTTCTAGGAATTCATGAAACACTTAATTTTCTAATAAAAGGGACAGACCTTAATGAATCGTTTCTCCTCTTCCTAATTGAAATGCAGAAGCAGCGTTCAGCACTGCACAGCCATTTTGTAACTGTGATTTAGTTGGGGCACAGAGAGAAAATAATAATGGGAACCCAGACTCCTGGCCTTGTTGGTGACACTACACAGAAGGTGAGGTGAACGAAATCATTTGTTAATCCAGTGTTTAACAAATTTTCTGTCATTTGCAGCTGAAACTGCCCTCACCGATACATATTATAGACTCTAGAAATGATCATTTCTGTTAATAATACTAAATATTTCTTGGATATCCCACATACCAGCAACCAAATCAATGCCTAATGAATACAAGGTATTTTTTCCTGTTATTTTTCATTGCTTTATTCATTAAGGTATGATTTACGTGAAGCATAATGTTTAACTCTCATGTTCTGCCCAATGGTATTTTATATATCTCCACATCCATATACTCTCCACTGAATTAATGTACAGAACCTTTCCAATGCTCTGGAAAGTTTCCTCAGGCTGCTTTTCAGTCAGCAACCCCCTTGTCCGCAGAAGCAATCAAGAATCTGACTTCCATTATCATAGTTTTGCCTGTCTATGACATTGATATAATTGAAATAATGCAATATACATTATTTTGTTAATGACTTCTTTCTCTCACCATAAGGCTTTTGAAACATATCGTGTTGTTTGTATCCAAAGTTGATTATGCTTTATTGCTGAGTAGTTTTGCATTATATGAATACACTACAATTTGTTTATTCTCCTATCGAGAAGCATTTGAGTTGTTTCTGTTTTGGGATATGATGAATAAAGCTGGTAAGAACATTCTTGTACATGTATATTTATTTCTCTTGGACATATGTCTCTAAAAAAATAGATCAGGAAGCTAAATGTAATTTTAATTTTATTGTAAAGTGCAATAGTTTCCAAAAGCAGTTGAAACACTTTACACTCCCACCAGCAAGATATGAAAATTCCAGTAACTCTGCATCCTAGACTTAGTGTTATCAGCATTAGCATTTTGTTTTAACTTTAAGCATTCTGTTGGAGGCATATTTGTATTTAATTGTGAGCCTCCCTGCTATGTTAACCCAAGAGTTTTGGCTATGCCATTTTGACCATAATACTGACATAGCACTATGATTTTTACTCTAAATATATATTTTTAAATTTATTTTAGAATTTCTCTCATAGAGTGTTACACACACACAAGCAAATCATACATAGGATAGAAAGAAGCTATTTTTTCCCATTTTTGTTAACTCCACTCGTAATCTCCCAAGGTTTTCTTTTTCTGTTCCTCTTTGAGTTCTTTTGGTGGTTTATTTCATGATTACAATAAAGAGCTTGGAGCAAATACTAGATCAATTTACTATTGATTATTTCACACAATAAAAGATAAATTAGCTAAAGACTCTATTTTTTCAACCTTTGACTTACAAATGCTATTTACATTATTGTAGTTTTACTTTTCTTTCAAAATTTAAAAAATTTTCTTTTTCTAGTATTGATATTAAGGATATATTGATAAGCCTAATCTTTCTTTGAACTTTCTTCCTCCCTTTATTATCCTATTATTTATTAGCTATAAATTTGTCTTTATATTGTGAAAGTTAGCATTTAGCATTAGTCTTGCAACCATAACTAAGTCTGCTTACCTATAGCTTAACCCTTAAAGGAAAAAAAAAAAAAAAGCTTAAAATCCAAAAAAAAATAAAATTTACATAATATTAATTATGGAAAAGTATCTTAATTTCAGGACAGAGAGTATGCTAGAATTATATTTACTTCTCTAAAGGTCTAATAGCATGGTCTCCTGTACTAATCACCAGAAAATAATCATCCCTGGAAAGTCAATGGCTTGAGTTCATTTCACATTTTAGGGTGCATCCTGTTTCAATAAACATCTTTGTTTCTATATTTCTCCCTTTAGTTACTAATTAATATCTAAAGTTTAGCTTTTCTTGAGATAACTACCTTTTTAATAATCATTTTTAAAATAATTTTGATCATTTGAAAATTATTGGAATTTGTTGCAATTAGCTTTATGGTTCAACATACAGTCAGATTTGGAAAACATTCCATATTTACTTGAAAAAATTGTATTCTGCAGTTGTGGGATGCAGTGTATCATATATGTAAATTAGGACAAGCTTGTTAATCATGTTGTTCAAATCATCAATATGCTTACTAATTTCTGTCCACTAATTCTACCAATTACCAATAGAAATAAATTAAAATCTTCCCCTAGGAATTGTGGACCGTTCCTTTAAAGGTAGTCATTTTCTGGCTTTATGTACTTTAAAGTGATATTAGAGGTAATGCAAGCAAAATTGTTAACAAGTGAGTTTTAAATAGGTAGAGGTCAGAGAAAATTTGCATGGGAAAGATATCCTTCCTATACTAGAAGCTTCTAACATTCTTATTATCAAGAATGGAAAGTTGAGGCTGAGAGAATTCTGTACAAACAACAGTTTAATTTTCAAACCTAGCCAGAAAACCTAAAAAGATACAGATAAAAATTTGCTGCTTCTACAGATTCTTATTACAGAAAGACTAAAGTTATTTGGGACTATCAGGGAGGATATGCTTGCCATAATGATAAATTGTACTAACAGAAAGCACATACTTCTAGAAATTGTCGTTCATAGATTTGCCAGTCTGCAGAATGCTGATGGAACATGCAGTTCACAATTGCTTGCTTCCTGGTGTTCCCTGGCAATTAAGGTCAGTAAGGGTTAAGAATTCTAATTAACATATGTAACTAACGTTACTCAGAATAATAAAGGAAACAACTTTATATGCAAGTATGCAAGAACCATAAGATGTGCTTTTGGTAAGAAAAAGCTATAAGGTATTAGGATGTTTTGTATGAGGAAAAAAGAGTAATTTTTGTTCTAAAGTAGAATGACTTGTTCCAAAGTAAGAAGAGGAAAAGTATAGGACAAAAACTGAATGGATAAGAAAGTTGAAGAACATTTGTGGAAAATAACTCTTTTGAAAGGAATTTTAGTGTGATCAAGCTGGTTAAGATTAAAAAGGAATTATTTATAAGTTTTTCTAAAAATTGAGCATTAATATTTTGACACACTGACACAAAACTAGAAAATGATCCTCTGTGTCAAAACCAGAATTTTTTTTGAAGTATGGATTGTCTTTTAATAGAAAATTGTGAAAGGTTTTTATTTACCTGTTATGTAATTGGCCTAGAAAATAAAGTTTCTGTGTTTTACCAAGATAACTTTCTGTGCTCTATGTTGCCGTTATTAGGTTCTTGATTCCTTAAGAAGATTGAGTCCTCTCTATTTAAAAAGCTTAAGGTTTTTCTATAACTCTGTAACTCTCTCAATTTGCTTCTCATGCCTTTAAATAATCACTGTGGTTACAGGAATGACTGTTGTTCACAGTGGCCTGTGATCCTCTTTTGATCAAGTGCTTAAACCCTTGGTATGTTTTACAAACTCCCCGAAATCAGATTCAGTATTAAAACCTTTTTTATATCTTTAATTAACTTAGAGTTTTTCTTGATGGGTGCTCAAAACTTCTCAAAAGGATATTTTTCCTTATGAAAAGACAGATATTAAACTAATTAAACTTATCTGATAAATTAAATTATATGAGAAGCATTGTGAAATAATACATAATGCTAAACTCTCTTTGAGTTGTATTTGTGTAGATGTTCTATTAATATGTGCTCCAGAAATTACATGAAATTCCTAGAAATATGATTATACCATTACACCGGGTAAGAATTTGCAGAACTCTGATTGGTTTCAGAAAACTGTTAACCAATGTCAAGCAAGAAAAGAATACCAAGGAAATGCTTTAGCAGATTCTCAGGCTAAGTCAACCAATACTGAAATTGTTTAAATATGCCATTTGAATCAACTCCATAGTATTGATCCCATTCAAATTCCCTATAATAACCTATTGTTTTGTAATGGTATGCAGCTAAATTGGAGAAACAAAACTGGTATTTAAGAAGATGCAAATCAATTTTAAGCACAGACTCATGGAAAGCCTGGATTGCTGCCTGCCCCTTGCTGAGTCCTTAAAGATTTCATTACTAAGAGCTCTGCACTCCATGACTCATTGTGGGGTGGATAAAATGATATAAATTATTTTAAAAAACTGATGCAGTGAGACTGTTCTAAAATTGCTGAGATGATTTATAACTGATGTTTCAAGTATCAAACCCATATTCTGATAAGACAATAAAAAATCTCGGGTTTTACATTTCCAGTATCTGCTGGATCATTTGAACACGTATAGTTGGATTTTATTCAATTGCCCCTGCCCTGCCCTGCATGTTTTCTGATTGCATAGAAGCTTTTCCATGCAAATAGACTAATGCTATATCAGTAGCTAAAAAGGTTATTAGAAAATGTGTTTTCTTTTTGGAGTACCCCTGGATAAATCTCCAGAAATAAAATAACCTGTTTTCTTGGACAATTTTATACAACAATTAAATAAGGTATTACAACAAACTCAGTGGCATCAGGCAATACTAACTGAATCAACTGAATTGCCTTGGCCAAAGGTATTACCATTGACTTTGATGGCAATAAGATCTACTCCTAGTAGGGACCATAGATTGACCTCTAATGAAATAGTTACTGGAAGGCCTGGCCCTCTCATAATGGAAACATACGTATCTCGTGCTCTTATAAAATCTGACAAGACTCAATATTCCAGGTATTTAATGCATTATGCCAAAGTAGACTTTTCCCATGTAAAATAAGCCCTTTGTGATCCCCCAACTAATGAAAACCAGACCTTTCATCATCTAGAACCTGTAGATTAGGTCTTGCAGATACAGCATTATAAAAGGACTTCCCTTGAATCCCTTTGGAAAAGAGCATACCAAGTTCATCTCTGTAGCAAAACTTCAGGGCCTCAAGTATTGGCTCAAATTGAGTTGACTGATCTTGTGCCATCAATGTCAATCAACTTAACTCAAGAGGACTCCTCCAGACTCTGAAGACTATACACGCATTGGAGACCTCAAGGTAAAGCTGGTCAGCAAAGATTTTCCCCTAGAAACAAATGGCATCCTGTTAGCAGATAAATGGCTTTCCTAAAATCATGATTTAAGACTTCTGTCTGTCACTATGAAACCTTTGTCCTCTTTCCTATTTTCTGTATGCTTATTCTCTGTTTATTCATGGCAAGATAATATGATTACTAATATTACAACTGATAGCTTCCACAGGGAGCTTAAATGAATGTTGGTTATGTCATGTTAAACCTAAATTCTTACATGATCTTAGAGATTCAGTGGTTCACACTGTAGCAAATTTTACAGATATTCCAAGTATATCTGATCTTTCCATAGGATTAGGCTATAAGATTTTTCTATTCAGACTTCTTGTTTAAATCTGACACTAGAAAAAACCTTTAGTGAAGGTTTTGCAGTTAGATTTTACCAGAAATTAAATAAGGAAACCAAAAGAAGGATAATTGGACAGTTTGTAGACAGGTTTATAACCTTAATCCCTTAATTGTCGGTATCCTCCAACCATGCAATGATTCAATAATGGAGCCTTAGATAAACATGACTAATGCTTTTCTACTGGTAACTCCTAATGCACAAGGTAATCCATGAGGAACTGTCTGTTGTGCCCCTCCAGGACATGTTTTTGTCTGTGGAGGACTTAAGAACATAATGATCATTTAACCATACATGTGGGCAACCCCAAGTCTCGTAAGTGGAAAGGAAGGGGGCAATGTGTATTAGGAATTCTAACAATGCCACTGTTACTCCATAACCAATTGGAAACTGACATTAGTCTGAACTTACGAATTTGCACTATGGAATAAGATCAATTTGCCAACAGGTATAAATCTTTCTAAATGGGCATTTTTTATTTTATTTTTTTTTTAGGTAGTCTCTTATTATTTTTATTATTATTATTATTATACTTTAAGTTTTAGGGTACATGTGCACAATGTGCAGGTTTGTTACATATGTATACATGTGCCATGCTGGTGTGCTGCACCCATTAACTCGTCATTTAGCATTAGGTATATCTCCTAATGCTATCCCTCCCCACTCCCCCCACCCCACAACAGTCCCCAGAGTATGATGTTCCCCTTCCTGTGTCCATGTGTTCTCATTGTTCAATTCCCATCTATGAGTGAGAACATGCGGTGTTTGGTTTTTGTCCTTGCGATAGTTTACTGAGAATGATGATTTCCAATTTCATCCATGTCCCTACAAAGGACATGAACTCATCTTTTTTTATGGTTGCATAGTATTCCATGGTGTATATGTGCCACATTTTCTTAATCCAGTCTATCATCGTTGGACATTTGGGTTGGTTCCAAGTCTTTGCTATTGTGAATAGTGCTGCAATAAACATACTTGTGCATGTGTCTTTATAGCAGCATGATTTATAATCCTTTGGTTATATACCCATTAATGGAATGGCTGGGTCAAATGGTATTTCTACTTCTAGATCCCTGAGGAATCGCCACACTGACTTCCACAATGGTTGAACTAGTTTACAGTACCACCAACAGTGTAAAAGTGTTCCTATTTCTCCACATCCTCTCCAGCACCTGTTGTTTCCTGACTTTTTAATGATCGCCATTCTAACTGGTGTGAGATGGTATCTCATTGTGGTTTTGATTTGCATTTCTCTGATGGCCAGTGATGATGAGCATTTTTTCATGTGTCTGTTGGCTGCATAAATGTCTTCTTTTGAGAAGTGTCTGCTCATATCCTTTGCCCACTTTTTGATGGGGTTGTTTGTTTTTTTCTTGTAAATTTGTTTGAGTTCATTGTAGATTCTGGATATTAGCCCTTTGTCAGATGAGTAGGTTGCGAAAATTTTCTCCCATTTTGTAGGTTGCCTGTTCACTCTGATGGTAGTTTCTTTTGCTGTGCAGAAGCTCTTTAGTTTAATTAGATCCCATTTGTCAATTTTGGCTTTTGTTGCCATTGCTTTTGGTGTTTTAGACATGAAGTCCTTGCCCGTGCCTATGTCCTGAATGGTAATGCCTAGGTTTTCTTCTAGGGTTTTTATGGTTTTAGGTCTAACGTTTAAGTCTTTAATCCATCTTGAATTGATTTTTGTATAAGGTGTAAGGAAGGGATCCAGTTTCAGCTTTCTCCATATGGCTAGCCAGTTTTCCCAGTACCATTTATTAAATAGGGAATCCTTTCCCCATTTCTTGTTTTTGTCAGGTTTGTCAAAGATCAGATAGTTGTAGATATGCGTTGTTATTTCTGAGGGCTCTGTTCTGTTCCATTGATCTATATCTCTGTTTTGGTACCAGTACCACGCTGTTTTGGTTACTGTAGCCTTGTAGTATAGTTTGAAGTCAGGTAGCATGATGCCTCCAGCTTTGTTCTTTTGGCTTAGGATTGACTTGACTATGTGGGCTCTTTTTTGGTTCCATATGAACTTTAAAGTAGTTTTTTCCAATTCTGTGAAGAAAGTCATTGGCAGCTTGATAGGGATGGCATTGAATCTATAAATTACCTTGGGCATTATGGCCATTTTCATGATATTGATTTTTCCTACCCATGAGCATGGAATGTTCTTCGATTTGTTTGTATCCTCTTTTATTTCATTGAGCAGTGGTTTGTAGTTCTCCTTGAAGAGGTCCTTCACGTCCCTTGTAAGTTGCATTCCTAAGTATTTTATTTGCTTTGAAGCAATTGTGAATAGGAGTTCACTCATGATTTGGCTCTCTGTTTGTCTGTTATTGGTATATAAGAATGCTTGTGATTTTTGTGCATTGATTTTATATCCTGAGACTTTGCTGAAGTTGCTTATCAGCTTAAGGAGATTTTGGGTTGAGACAATGGGGTTTTCTAGATATACAATCATGTCATCTGCAAACAGGGACAATTTGACTTCCTCTTTTCCTAATTGAATACCCTTTATTTCCTTCTCCTGCCTAATTGCCTGGCCAGAACTTCCAACACTATGTTGAATAGGAGTGGTAAGAGAGGGCATCCCTGTCTTGTGCCAATTTTCAAACGGAATACTTCCAGTTTTTACCCATTCAGTGTGATATTGGCTGTGGGTTTGTCATAGATAGCTCTTATTATTTTGAGATATTAAAAGAACTAGAAAAGCAAGAGAAAACATATTCAAAAGCTAGCAGAAGGCAAGAAATAACTAAAATCAGAGCAGAACTGAAGGAAATAGAGACACAAAAAACCCTTCAAAAAATTAATGAATCCAGGACCTGGTTTTTTGAAAGGATCAACAAAATTGATAGACCGCTAGCAAGACTAATAAAGAAAAAAAGAGAGAAGAATCAAATAGACACAATAAAAAGTGATAAAGGGGATATCACCACCGATCCCACAGAAATACAAACTACCATCAGAGAATACTACAAACACCTCTACGAAAATAAACTAGAAAATCTAGAAGAAATGGATAAATTCCTTGACACATACACTCTCCCAAGACTAAACCAGGAAGAAGTTGAATCTCTGAATAGACCAATAACAGGATCTGAAATTGTGGCAATAATCAATAGCTTACCAACCAAAAAGAGTCCAGGACCAGATGGATTCATAGCCGAATTCTACCAGAAGTACAAGGAGGAACTGGTACCATTCCTTCTGAAACTATTCCAATCAATAGAAAAAGAGGGATTCCTCCCTAACTCATTTTATGAGGCCAGCATCATCCTGATACCAAAGCCTGGCAGAGACACAACCAAAAAAGAGAATTTTAGACCAATATCCTTGAGGAACATTGATGCAAAAATCCTCAATAAAATACTGGCAAACCGAATCCAGCAGCACATCAAAAAGCTTATCCACCATGATCAAGTGGGCTTCATCCCTGGGACGCAACGCTGGTTCAATATACACAAATCAATAAATGTAATCCAGCATATAAACAGAGCCAAAGACAAAAACCACATGATTATCTCAATAGATGCAGAAAAGGCCTTTGACAAAATTCAACAACCCTTCATGCTAGAAACTCTCAATAAATTAGGTATTGATGGGACGTATTTAAATGGGCATTTTTTAAATAAAATGTTTTATGTTAGTCCATTCTCATATTGCTATGAAGGAATATCTGAGACTGGGTAATTTTTTAAGAAAGGAGTTTTAATTGACTCACAGTTCTGCAGGTCTGAGGAGGCCTCAGGAGACTTACAAACATGGCAGAAGGCATCTCTTCACAGGGTGGCAGAATACAGCATGAGTGCTGAGTGAAAGGGGAAGCCACTTACAAAACATCAGATCTCATGAGAACTCACTCACTGTCACAAGAACGGCATGGGGAAAACTGCCCCCATGATCCAGTCACTTTCCACCAGGTCTCTCCCATGACATTTGGGGATTATGGGCACTACAATTCAAGATGAGATTTGAGTGAGGACACAGCCAAACCATATCATGTTACTACCTTGACTTGACATAAATGTAAATGGGTTTATAATTAGAAATCTCTCAAATATTAGCTACTATAGCTGACTCCACTGCAAATGTTATAGTTGCCCAGCAGACTTCTTTAAATTCCCTTGCTAAAGTTGCTTTAGATAATTGTATTGCTTTGAACTGTCTGTTGTCTGAACACAGGGAGTACATGTGATAGGAAATACCTCCTACTGCATTTGATACATATGTTGGACAGTTAGATAGTAGTAACTAAGCTGTATTAAATCAACAAAAAAGCTATTTGGCTAAAGCAGGTAGATTTCTCTTCCCGCTCATTTATATATATATTTGATTTTAACTAGTTCAGTTTGTGGAGACTCCTGTTAAGGAGTATAGGTCAGTCTTTTAGTATCATCCTCCCAATAGCCATCATAATAGCTTTTCTGATGAGCTTTATCCTCTCAAGAGTCTGAAATGCTTGCTTGCAGCCTTTCCTTATAAGTCAAGTGTTCTCACTATAGTTAGAATAACAAAAACATGAAGAGAACATAACGAAACATTCACCAATGGCTCACACCTATAACCTCAGCACTTTGGGAGGTGGAAGGATTGCTTGTGGCCAGGAGTTCAAGATCAGCCTGGGCAACATAGCAAAACCTTATTCTCTGCAAAAATTTTTTAAAAAGAATAGTTGGGAAAGATGATGTGTGCCTTTAGTACCAGCTATTTAGGAGGCTGAGTCAGGAGGATCACTTGAGCCCAGGAATTAGAGGTTGCAGTGGCCATAATCACACCACTGTACTTCAGCAGTTAGACTGATAAAGCCAACCCTGTCTCAAAAAGAAAGAAGAAAGAGAAAGGAAGAAAGAAAGGAAGGAAGGAAGGAAGGAAGGAAGGAAGGAAGGAAGGAAGGAAGGAAGGAAGGAAGGAAGGAAAGAAGGAAGGAAGGAAGGAAGGAAGGAAGGAAGGGAGAGAGAGAAGAAAAAAAGAAAGAAAGAAAGAGAGAGAAAGAAAGAAGAAAGAAAAAAGAAATAAAGAAAAAAAAGAAAGAAAGAAAGAAAGACTCAGCTGAGCTGACTTCAAGAATTTCGAACTCCATACTGAGACTAAACAAGTCCATTATGATGGTGACAAACAATGGCATCAACAACCAAAGTTTTGGTGAATCTCTCAAAATTAAAAGGCTGACCAAAAGGGGAGAATTGTTAAATCAAATTAAATTTGTCCTAATGCTGCCTCTGTATCTTGCATTCATATGTAGCAAACTTTAACATAATTTAGTATGTAAGCAAACTGCAACCTAACATGATGTAACAAACAGCTCTATCTCAGCTGATTATTGCAGGTAAGCTTCAGCCAATTGGTTGACAGGTTGTCAACTAATCAGAATATGTCCATATAAAACAAACATCTTGTCACACCATGCCCAAATATGACAAATGTCCAGCTGTAACCAAATCAGGATAGTTCCGTATGTCAGTTTCTTTTTATCTCTATACACTGCCTATCCACATTACTTGGTGGAGCTCTCTATACCACTCTGGGTTCTGAGTGCTGTTCAATTCATGAATTGTTATTTGCTCAAATACACTGCTAAATTTAATTTGGCTGAAGTTTTCTTTTAACACTACTGTTGTAGACCTATGGCACTGACATACGTATCCTACAAAGTTAACATAAGAATCAGATGCAATATAATATGTGAGAGTACTTGGAAGATTATAAAACAGTCAAAGTTCATTGCATTGTTATTAAATAATACAATTTCATTGCCTAATTTAAATAACAGAATTGCTTTAGAAATAATTTTTGTTTGAATTGTTAATATATTTCAACACAAAGGAACAAGGACACACAAGAAATATTTTTATTAATCAATTTATAATTAAGTTTAAATTGTAATCAATATGATAAACTCAGTACAATAGCTTAATGAAATAGTAAATAGCTGAAATTGCCAATAAACAATCAGTTGAAAGACTTTTTTTCTAAATGAAAATTTTTTTCTACATGTATAACATGAATAATTAGAATGGTAGCTTGACTTTCTTTCAAATTGTAGAACTGAGTGTTTTTACATAATTTCTTAGAAATTATTTAACACTCCAAGTTGCCTGTTTAAATCTCATGAGAATGGAAGTCTTTAGTTGAACAGATGAGAAAGGAAGCAAACCAGTCTCAGTACACTTAGACACTGCCTTGGTGCGGTTATAACTCTACTTTCCACAGCCCATTCGTTTTTCCCTAGGGATCACTAGGATGTGAGCTCTTTTCAGATGATAATGGCGAATCATCACTCACTCCAAAAATAGCTTGAAATTTCCACCCTCAGTATTAATGTACGTAAACATCTTCAGACCATACATTCTCTAAAAGCCTAATTGAGAAAAGTGGTCTGAAGCTTCTGAAATGTCATATTTTCAAGGTAAAATTAAAAAAAAAAAAGATTTGGAAGCTCAACTTTTGTCCCTGCGGGATTCTCATTAGTGCTTGCTGTCCTTGCGTGGCCACACCAACTTTCTCAGAGATGCAGAAGTATTGAGCTCTGCTATTTGTGCCAGTACAGCCTTAAATTTCTCCTGAGAGCGAGATCTGGGGAAGCTGCTGTCCCATTTAGATTTCAAAACCATCGTATCCATATGACCAGCATAGTTTAAAATAAAAAAAAAAGATACGCACAGAAATATTCTTTTAAAAATTATTATTGAATATTGTCATAGCATATTATGAAAAAATTACATCAAAATAAAAACTCTTTGTAATGTTTATATTTTTGTGTCTGTCTTATACTGTAGAATTCCCATATCAAATTCACCTTAATATCTGGTGAAAAGCTTATATTATTCTTTATGAATTTTGTATATTCTATGTAATAGAAAGTTCATGTTTTCAATCGTATGATCTTAATGTCAATTGTCCACTCTAAGAGCCTCCTATTACTCAACTAACCTATATATATTTTACTTCAGATGCATAAAGTCACCATGAACATTTTTTTAAAAAGCAAAATTATGTTTCTCTGCATGATACAGAAAGCAACTATAGTATACTGTGGAGATATTTTGAAGTTTTTTCTGCCTTAATAGTCAGTGTTTTGTTTTGTTTTGTTTTTCTTTTGAGAAGGAGTCTCGTTCTGTCCCCCAGGCTGGAGTGCAGTGGCACGATCTCTGCTCACTTCAAGCTCCGACTCCTGGGTTCACACCATTCTCCTGCCTCAGCCTCCCAAGTAGCTGGGACTACAGGCGCCCACCACCATGCCCGGCTAATTTTTTGTATTTTTAGTAGAGATAGGGTTTCACTGTGTTAGCCACGATGCTCTCGATCTCCTGACCTCGTGATCCTCCAGCCTCAGCCTCCCGAAGTGCTGGGATTACAGGCATGAGCCACCGTGCCTGGCCAATAGTCAGTGTTTTAAATAAAACACTTTCTCAGTGAGCAGAGAGGATGAACCACACCAGAATCTTAGCGTCAGACACATTGGATAATTTTGAAATGTGTGCATTGATGTGGAATGCAAATCAAACAAAATAATAGGCAAATCTTATAGTAGAATATAGCAACTCTAGTAACTATCTGGTGCTTTCGATGAGGCAGTATTTGCGCAAAACATTTAATACAATACATACTTCATTTGACCTTGTGAGTAGGCATGAAGCCCATTTTACATGTGGTAATCCTGAAATAAAGTGACATTAGTTTACTTGCTCAAAGTCATGCCAGTAGTAAGTCAAGGGGTTGGGATTCAAATATTTGCTTGTAATCATTGTTGTATACTGCTTCTCAAATAGGAACAAATATCTTGAGTTATATAAACAGATAATAAAGATGCTATAATTCGCACCCTGAATTTCAACTACTTATCAACCCTGAATCTAGGAAGTAGGTCAACAGGGCATGAAACAGTGTGAGATCTATTTCAGTATGGTGCGGATAATTAAATTGAGTGATCAAAGAGGATGATACGAATGAGGACAACGAAAACTTCATTTATCTTGGTTACTTTTAATTAAGAAAGTACCTATCTTGCAGAATTATGCGAGTTAAGTGTCTATATGAATGATGCTTTCTATTAGTATTTTTTAAATAGGGTGCCAACTCTATAAAGTTATTCTTTATCTAGATTCCTAGAATCAAGAATATGTAATTCAAATAATATATGTGTATACATATGTATGTGTCTCTAGGATACCTGTTTATTATGCTGTAGGTAATTTTTAAGATGCAGGATAAACTCTGTTCTAATAACTTTTGTGGTTTCTAGCCAAGTACTATTAAAAAGAGATAACGTGAAGTGAGCGAAGTGAGCTTGTAGTTAGCGTATTCCCAACAAGGCTTGCATGCAACTGAAAGGTCGAGTGGAGAAATTTTATCCATAAAGACTATGTTGGGCATGGAACCAGAACTTATCATACAGATGCTGCTCAACTTATGATGGGGTGATGCCCCAACAGACCCATCATACATAGAAAATATTGTAAATCAAAAATGCAGTTAATACACCTGATCTGTGAAGCATCATAATTTCGCCTAGCCTAACTTAAACATGATCAGAACACTTCTATGAGCCTACAGTTGGGCAAAAATCACCTGGCAACACAGCTCATTATCGAATATTCGTTGTTGACCCATATGATTCTGTGGCTAACTGGAGGGTGAGCATCTACGGCCTCTCATTAGACCAGGAAAAGAACAAAAATCTTTTTTTTTTTTTTTGAGACAGGGTCTAACTCTGTTGCCCAGGCTGGAGTATAGTGGCGTGATCTTGGCACACTGCGACCTCCACCTCCTGGGTTTAAGCGATTCTCCTGCCTCAGCCTCCTGAGTAGCTGGGATTACAAGCATGAGCCACCATGACTAGCTAATTTTTTGTATTTTTAGTAGAGATGGGGTTTTGCCAAGTTGCCCAAGCTGGTCTTGAATTCCTGAGCTCAAGCGATCCGCCAGCCTTAGCCTCCTAAATTGCTGGGATTACAGGCATGAGCCACCACTCCCAGCCAAAAATTGGAAGTACTACCTCCACTGAAAGTGTATTACTTGTGTACATTCACCATCGTAAAGTTGAAGAATCATACGTCAAACCATGTTGGTTAGGGGCCGTGTGGATAAGATTTCTCCACTCGACCTTTCAGTTGTATGCAAGCCTTGTTGGGAATATGAGATACAGGAATCACAGTTGAATCTCTACTTCCGTTTTGAAAAAAATACAGCTTATTCTCCTGATATTCAAACATGTTGTGTGTGCATCATTTGTAATGTCTTCTTCCCATTATGAAATAAAAATAACTTTTAGAATAGTGAAATACTTTGTTACAAAACCAAGCAACTTAAGAGACCTAGCAAAGTCTATACATCAAAAGACAGTTTGAAATTGTGAGTGTATTGAAAGAGATGAAGCCTGAGAAATTAAGAGCCTTGCCATGCATATAGCACCACACTTCATCCAGATAATTTTAAGCATAAAATTGAAATAAACTATATAAGTTTTGTGGTTTCTAGAAAGCTTTAAGACAGCATGTAACATTATAATAACTGAAAAATACCTTTCATTATGAAACGGTGGATACAATAAATGCAGATATCATTGAGACCATGTTGATACAATAGGAAGCAATGATCATTGTCAAAAAACTGATGAGAAGTGAATGAAAAAAAGGAGATGATTTGCTAAATGAATTGTGTTTTAAGTATGTCTACAGTGTGTGGAAAAATTTAAAACTGCAAAAATGCATCATTTGAAGATCTCATGATGAATTTGCAGCAGTCTTTCTCAATGATTTGCAGTAAACTATTGACAAAATGTTTTTTCTGCAAAGCAAATTTTAATCTGAATAAAATGTTTTTCATTTTTATAAACAAGCACTGTCTAGTACATTTATTTCAGAAGACAAAGAGGAGGAGTAGGAGGAAGAGCCAGGACATAAAACATTCAAAAAAATAGGCTAACTTTGTGTTTAGGTGGAAACTATGGGGATGATGATTAAATTAAAATCTTTCTTGGCATACCAGACCCAAAAACTAAAGTCAAGCCACAGGATGCCCAAATTAACTTTTTTTTTTCTGGGTGTATCTGTGAAGGTGTTTCTGGTGAGATGGACTTTTTTTTTTTTTTTAAGTAAATTGCCTTTCCCAATATAGATGGGTAACATTCAATTTGTTGAGGGTCTGGATAGAGCCAAAGCAGAGGAAGAATAAATTTGTTTTTGTTTGGTTTTGTTTTGTTTTTTCCTGCCTCACTGGTTGAGCTGGGGCATCTCATCATCTTGAGCCCTCAGAGTAGAATTTGCACCATCAGCTCCTCTGGGTTTCAGAACTTCAGAGTCAGAGTGAATTATACCACTGGCTTTCCTTGGTGGTCTCCAGCTTATAGAAGCCAGATCCTGGCTGGGTACAGTGGCTCTTGCCTGTTATCCTAGCATTTTGGGAGGCAAAGGTGGGCGGATCACTTGAGGTCAGGAGTTTGAGACCAGCCTGACCAACATGGTGAAAACCTGTCTCTCCTAAATACACAAAAATTAGCCAGGCGTGGTGGCAGGCGCCTGTAATCACAGCTACTTGGGAGGCTGAGGCAGGAGAATCACTTGAACCTGGGAGGCGGAGGTTGCAGTGAGCCAAGATCACGCCACTGTACTCCAGCCTGGGCAACAGAGGGAGATCCTGTCAAAAAAAAAAAAAAAGAAAAAAAAAAAAAAGAAAGAATGAAAAGAAGGCAGATCCTGAGATTTCTGTCTCCATAATTACCTGAGCCAATTTCTCATACTAAAATCTAAACATGCAAATGACTCTATCTCCAGTGATAAAGAGTGCACTGATAGTCCCAGAGTATAAACTACTTATAAAGACACTAAGAAGAAGCAAGGAGCTAGGTGACTCTATACAGTTGGCCCTCTGTAACCTCATATTTTACATCTGCAGATTTAACCAACATGAATGAAAAGTATTTTTAAGAAACTAATAAAATAACAATATAACAATATCAAATAATACAAATTTTATAAACAACAGAATGTAACAACTATTTACATGACATTTGCATTGTATTAGGTATTTAAGTCACCTGGAGATAAAGTATACAGAAAGATGTGCATAGCTTAATGCAAATACTATGCCATTTTATATAAGGGATTGAGCAGTTACAGATTTTGATAGCCACAGAAATCCTGGAACTGATTCACTGTAGATAACAAGGAATGACTGTATATTATAATTTCAAATATTTTTGGAAAACTAAGGGATATAATGATGCTCAATGATTGCTCTTAATGTTGCT